>NC_000003.12:165523755-165675270 GCF_000001405.40 Homo sapiens
TTTTAACAGAATTGCAAATAACATATGGAGATACTGTGCTCCCAGGAGGTGGAGATGAATTATTATCCTTTCTTCACACCTTCCCATTGAGATTGGGCTAGATTTGCTGATATTTTTCAAAAAAATAGTGCAGTGAAAAAAAAAAAGGTGCATTGTTTTAGTACAAGAAACTTGGCACATTCTACCTCAACCAAATGATGAAAGTTAACATCACAGATTCCATGTGGACATTACTACCTCCCTGGTATGATGTGATGAGAAAGGCATTTCCCTCTGTGGTATTATTTCAAATGACTGATAATTCTGGTCTAATCAGGAGAAAAACAACACAGATCCATTGGAGACTTTCAACAGGACACCTGCCCAGTATGCCTCAAGACTTTCAAGGTCATGAAAACCAGAAAGGAGAGATAAACAATCACAGATTAAGACATTGTGGAAATTGAACAATCAGAAGCAATGATGTAGCCTAGATTAAATCCTAAATCTGTAAGAGGACATTGATGGAAAAACTGGTGACATCCAAAGAAGTCTTGAATTTAGTTACAGTAATATCCTAAAAGAAAAAAAATTGAAATTGAAAGCAAAATAAAGTACTTCACAAATAAATGAGAAATACATCAGATAATTCAGATTATAAACAAAGAGAAAAAATCAATTAGTACTTAAACAGGGACATCCCCAAAGAATCAGAGTTTATTTTAAAATGGCTTTCTCAGGGATTTTATTCTAAATATTTTAAAACGTAAAGGAATTTTAAAATTTCTTTAAAAATACTTAAAAATACCAGAATTAATCAAGTATATTGGAAATGTCATAAAATCAGTAACTCTAGATTTAAATTAAAGGAATAAAAAAACTCTACCATTGGCAAATGGTAGATTATTTGATTAATACATAAAAAATATAAGCTACTCAAATAAATTATTTGAACTAGTTGAAGTTCTAACATACTCCAATAGTTTTCTTGTGATTCTTAGTAAGACAATATTAAGAAAAAAAATTCCTTCATGAGAAAACAACTACAAAATATGTATATTTATTCCAAACATAAAATACTTAAGTTTTTTTTGCAAAAAATACAAATCTTTATTGAAGAACTAAATAAAACATACCAAAACATAAGCATACCAAATGTGTGTCAAATAAATGTATACATCCAATAAAACTCTAATCATTGTGGCTTAAGCTAGTTATAACAAATACAAAAGAAAAAGAAAAGTGAAAAAAAGAAATGTACTCAACTCATTAAATAGATCTCAATTATTACATATAAAATGTTAAAATAAAATATATAATCAATAAAATGTTTTTATTTTCTTGAGAGACTCTTTTCTGTTCAAGATATGTGGCCTGGAAACAAAACAATGACAACTAAAACTACATATAATTAATTTAAAAGTAATTTATGGCTAACTACAGCCACAACAGTTACAAAAAGAATACCAACATAGTAAATGATGGCTTAATGGTCAATATGTATTAACAACACTAAATCAATGAGAACAATATCTAAACAACATGACAGAGCAATGGACAAAGGAAGTGAAGATAATTCACAGAGGAAGAAATAAATAAGAGCAAGAATCATGTAAAAATGTAAAACTACTTTGGTGATTATGAAATGTATCTGAAATAAATACAATTCAAAATTTCTCCAAAAAACTGCCTTTTTTACAAAAGGCAATGATTAGTGAATGTGGCAGTGTGGTGAAATATACACAGTTGATGGAAAGCAAATTGGAAGACAAACTACTTTAAGCTGTCAGTCAACATGTGAGTGTGCAAACACTTTGACTCAAAAATTCTGCTGGCAAATTCAAAGTTATACAAACTCCCCCATTTAGGTGTTCAGTATTTCATCATTTTTAGGAAAAAAAATACAGATGCCTTATATTTTATCAATAGGGGGATAATTTAATAAAGGAAAGGATATTTTCAATTTGGAGTAGCTGGCTGATATAAAAATGAGATGTACTTTTGTACAAGGATGCCCACGCTTCTGTGTTTGATGAATGGGGAAAAAAATAAAAGAGAGCAGTGTACAAGGTCAGGTTTCATTTTGTAAAAAGAAATACATTGTAATGTATTTTTATACCTGTATATACAGGCACAGATACATATATAAACATTTACATTTGCATGTGCAGAATGTATATTGTATATATTGATGTGCTGACAGATTACAAGTGTGTAAGAGCTTGGGAGATAGGTATGAAAAATGTACTTTTCACGTATATATTAATACTTCTGTATTACTGAATATTTTCAATGAACATTTACTTCTTTTAAGGCTACTTACTTCAAATTATAGCCAGTGTTAATAAAAGCTTGACACCCTCCATGCCCTGCCCCAATAAGGCTAGATGCTCTTGCTGTTATTATTCATCACTCTATACATGGCTGCTTTCTATGTAAGCATCCACTGTAAAATGCCAGGCATGTTGTGAACTCAAAATACCTTTAATGGCTAATTTAATGTAAAATAATTAATAAATGTTTGCCAATGACCTAAATAAAAAATAACAGGCAAAAGAAAGAATGAAAGTATAAACGTAATAAGGTAACAGTAGGTATATTAGTCCATTCTCATGCTGCTGTGAAGAAATACCCAAGACTGGGTAATTTATAAAGAAAAGAGGTTTAATTGACTTACAGTTCCAAGTGACTGGGGAAGCCACAGGACACCTAGAATCATGGTGGAAGGCACCTCTTCACAGGGTGGCAGGAGAGACAATGAATGCTGGCAGGGGAAATGCCAGATGCTGATAAAGCCATCAGAACTCACTCACTATCAGAACTCACTCACTGTCACCAGAACAGCATGGGGGAAACCATCCCGTGATTTAATTACCTCCCACCAGATCCCTCCCATGACACGTGGAGACTTTGGGAACTACAATTCAAGAAGAGATTTTGGTGAGACACAGCTGAATTATATCAGAGGGGAAAATAAAGAAAAATGAGTATGGCAAATTAGAAAGTTACAATCCTCTATAAAGAATTTAAAAAATAAAATGGAAAGCTAAACATCAAAATTTAGCTGAGTGGAAGTAATGACCATTAGACATTGATATAAATGATTCACTACTTTATGTCTGTTTTACAAACAAAATAAAACACAATCATGTACACCATTAGATACAACAAATTACCTTTGCTGTAAAATTGCTTAAGTAGTAACACATGTCATTCATTAAACTTCTTTAAGCATCAGGATTTCCTCCTAATACCATAAATGTATTTTGAGTAGAAGAAATGCTGTTTTGCTGAAAGAATTGAATTATCTGGTTTTCACAAAGTATCAACTAATTATATTTAATATGAAATCTGTTTTAAAAAATAGTATGTACTTTCTTTGGTTATCTTTATTGCTTTTCAATTAATACCTTTGAGTTGGCAAGAAGAGAAAGTGCCTGATGTGTTATATTTATTTGTTCTAAAGGTAATCATTGTTCAAAATATGTGAAGCTATTGTTCAGAACCAGGGTACTTAGAATGCATTAGAAACATTCATGCTGACATTAGAGAGGTGGTTTGCTCTCATTACTAAAATGTGTTACCTTAGCACATTGCTGTTTTCCAAAAAAAGTAGCCAAATTCATAAAGATCATAACCATAAAGGTTTCTGAAAATTTATGTTTAAGGGAGAAAAATGAAATGCTGGCTTTAGGAGTGGTGAATGTTTATTTTTAAATATTTAATAAGGTGGCTAATTTATGTCACTGTTAAGTTTTTGATGTGTATAAAATGTACCTTTAAAAATTTTTTCACTGATACTTAATATTTGTGTATATTTATGGAGTACATATGATATTTTATTATAGTCATAGAATGTATGCATGTATGGATATCCATCGCCTCCGCTACTTATCATTTCTATGTGTTGAGAATATTATCTCTTTTACTTCTGGTAGATTTTATTCAGCATCTTTAAATAATAAGCCATTTCTAAGTTAAAGTAAGAAACAACTTGATAGCTTTGTGCTTGTGTTCTTTTGGAATACTATGTTAATAGTACTAGGATATCCTTTGTAGAAGCTAGGGTAATTGGTGACTTTTGAAATATTTTATTAGTGCATCTCCTGATGTCCCACTCAGGTAGTTTTAGGGGTGAGCAAAGTTTACTTTACAGATCCAATCTGGTGAAGTACTTGTTTTTGTAAATAAAATCTTGTTAGAACACAAGTATGCCCATTCATTTATTTATTGTCTGTGCTGCATTTTTGCTAGATGTGAGTGTTTGCAACAGAGGCTCTGATTTGCACAGCCCCAGATATTTACTATTTGGTCATTTACAAAAATATTTACCAACTCCTGAAGGAACAAATTGATTCTTGTGTCTTGCCCCATCACTGTAACAAACCCCAAGACCACAGAGAGTACACATAGACTATAGCAGCATTTCTCATGCTTGAGAAATGTGAATATTCCCTTGGAAGGATGCAAAGTATTCTCCTCACCACCAGTAATGACTTAAGTTACTTTTATTATACAGTTTCTTAAATCCAAATAAATACATATTTAGGTATACACTCCTTATAGATTTAGCTTGTCCCAAAACATATTTAAAGTATTGCACACATAAAATTAACATTAAATGGATTTAATGGTAATGTTATTTTGCACAAACTAACTGTGTACTTGAGGCATAAAAATGGCACTACCTGATGTGACTACAGCCTTTTCAGTTTGGTACATGGCTCCTACTGCACTCCATGTGATTGAGTTCTCTCTCCATTTTTCTCCATTCAAATTTCCATGAGACCTCCTTGGGACAGAAAATGTTGAATTAATTGGATTTGGCTTGTTTAGTGAGCACATCATGAATGACGAAAGATCATATAACTGAAGTTCTTAAACAATTCATTTCAAACTGATATGCAGTGTGAGCACTGGAATCTCATGGAAGTTCTTGTTTATAATGACCACCCAGGTTATTTGACTTTAGCACATATGTATGCATATATAAATCTACATACATATGCACATACATACATTTATGTACATGCATACAATATTATTTAGATGGAGAGGGAAATTTAACTGTTCTCATTGGGAAATTGTAGGTTACCTGTATACATTGTCTTACCTCTATTCTGGTTACAAAACACTGACCTAGAACAAAGATAGAAATATTTTAAAAGTTAAAGAAGAGCAGGTTAATGGTCATTTAGGCAAGGATGAACGATGCTATAACATTGCTTAATGCTGGAAGAGGTTTCATTATAGACTATTATAATTTAAGTAGAAAGTTCAATCCAGGTTCCCTATTTCACACTCCTGTAAGCAACCTCATAATTTTAATGAAATAAGCACATTAATGTTCTATTCTGCATGATGTGAATTATGAAGGAATTAAACAGAATATAGAAGATAAATGTATAATATGCTATAAAACTCATAGCTAATCTAAATAATATCCAAAATTTACTACATCAAGTGGTTAGGTATTATAAAACTTTAAGTATTTGTATTAATAACTACCAAAACAAGTGGTTAAAACAAAATCAATACTTAAAAATTCTGAAGAAGTTTGGTTAGTTAGAGGAAATGATATAAGGTATAGGAATTTACTTAGTAAAGATACTTGTAATAATGAGCCATATAAAGTTTTGATTCCTACAATGACAAATCCATATATGGAAAAATGGGCCCAATCAATATATTTCTTTTAAAAATGAGACCTCAAGTTTTAACTTACATTTAGACATATTTTGATGCTTACTGAACACCTTTAGAGAGTACTTAGATAACTGCATTTATATCACTATAGAAATCTAATTTCATTTGCATTTTGAACTATCAAAAATTTCAAAATTATGATTCTTCTAGGTGATGCATCTCTGACTTGAACATGTTCCAGGTACCAACAGTCTAACCAACTGTTTTAGAACAGATCATGAAATTTGCCTGGGGTGACAATAAGTGAGAATGATGACTTGGACTCAATTCTAGATTACTTTTACTTTAGTTACTTCCAAAGCAGTAAATAAACAGAATAGCTGATATAAATAAGAAAGTAGGTGACTGACGTAAATAAGATAAGAAAGTAGGTGGGGGTTCCCTCATCGGTCAGGGTTCTCTAGGGGAACAAAAATAACTTGCCATGGTTAATACTGAGCGTCAACTTGATTGGATTGAACAATACAACGTATTGATCCTGGGTGTTTCTGTGAATGTGTTGCCAAAGGAGATTAACATTTGAGTCAGTGGGCTGGGAAAGACAGACCCACCCTTTATCTGGGTTGGCAAAATCTAGTCAGCTCCAGCATGGCTAGACTATAAGCAGGCAGAAAAATGTGAAAAAAGAGACTAGCCTAGCCTCCCAGGCTACATCTTTCTCCCGTGCTGGATACTTCCTGCCCTTGAACTTTGGACTCCAAGTTCTTCAGTGTTGGAACTTGGACTGGCTCTCCTTGCTCCTCAGCCTGCAGACAGCCTATTGTGGGGCTTTGTAGGTTTCCTATCAATTTCACTTCTAGGAACACTGTGATTAATTAGCCAATGCCAGAGCTCTACATGAGTCAGACTATTCTGATTGCTGCTTTGCCTCTGCTGTCCATTACAGTAGCTATGGCAACCCTGTCTTTGATGGTTGAGTATTGCCATTTGGCCCCTGCCACCTTGGGATCCAATTATTCCCATTGTATTTAAAATCTGTAGTCGAGTGACTGTGGTTCCCATGGTTAGATCTAACTTACAGAGAAGAACAATTACAGGGCTCTTCAAAGATGTGAGTGCTGCCCTCACAAATCTATTTCACAAGGCATTGGTCAAAGTTATATCTTCTGGACCCTCCCAGCTGGGATGAGTAAGTCTTAAGTGACTAATCCACTCCACTATCCCAATCTCCTTAAACCTTTGGTTCCCCTCCTCTACATTAAACCAAGGAAGATCAGGCATTTCCAGCTCACTCACAGTGGGCCATCTTTTAATCCATATTTTAGCTAACCAAGCAAATAAACTATTAGAACCTTTTTAAATTCCATGAGCTGCAAAGTTAAATACAGAGCCCAAATCAATAAATTCAGCCTGATTCAACTCTATGGTCCTTCCACCATTATCCCACACCCTTAATATTTATTCCCATGCCTGTTCTCCAGATTTCTGTTTCTACAAATTAGCAAACTCAAGCAGTTATTTTTGAGGGTGGTGTAACTCCTCATGGGTTACACTCTCAACCTCACCTCTAGGGGCCCGCCAGGACTTTAGTCTAGTTATAGGTCTAGAAGCAAACAGGGGTGTTGGGGGTGGCTCCTGAGGAGAATCAACGTTATCTTGCCTGGCAACTGCCTCAGGGGAGGTCATCACTGTTGCCTCAGGCAGCGCAGGGTTTATCTCCTCAGACAAAGGTGAAAAGGCTGATGGCAGCATGGGTCAGGGAGGGGATGTTGCCAATACTGGGGATGGGGAAGCTGCTTCTTCTAGCAAAAAAAGGTTCATCAGCGTTTACAAACTCAGTGTCCCCAGTTTCATCAGGGTCCTCCCACACATCTGCATGCCAAGTTGCAGGCTCCCATTCTTTTCCAATCAACGTACTCAGTTTAACAATGGACACTTGGCAAGGCTGTGCATGCGCCTTTCATTGCAGGTCAGCCACTCACATAAGAGCCTGTGTCTGTTTTTCCACAATTTCAGCTCTTTCTCTACACGAGATAAGACTCTCACTCAGGACAATCTTAGCAGATTTAACGCTCAGTGTCTGCTTCTGAAGCTGGGAGATAGAATCCCTGAGTTCATCATTTTCTTTCATCACTTTGTTTTTTTAGCAGCCAACCAGCTTCGTTATGTTCCTTGGTTCTCCACTATGGTCAAAGGTATTATGTATAGAGTCATTAAACTCCTTGCCTCTCATGAGCAATGAATCAGGACTGTCAAATGCATTTATCTTGCATAACTCTATAAACAGTTCACGCCAAGGACTATCAGTGTTCTCCATACGATTAGATGTAGAGTCCTTAGCATTTTTGTGTTTAATCATATTAAGCAGCCAACTCCAGAAACCCCAAAACCAATGAAGGAACTCTATCCTTAATATTCTGTTCCTCTAGAACCATTTCTGGTACCAAATTCTGGATTAGTCAGGGTTCTCTAGAGGGACAGAACTAATGGAGTCTGTCCATTATACGAGTTTATTAAGCATTAACTCACGGGATCACAAGGTCCCACAATAGGCTGTTTGCAGGCTGAGGAGTAAGGAGATCCAGGCCAGGTTAAAAAACTGAAGAACTTGGAGTCCAGTATTCAAGGAAGGGGAGGAAGTATCCAGCATGGGAGAAAGATGCAGGCTGGGAGTCTAGGCCAGTCTCTCTTTTCACTATTTTTCTGCCTGCTTATATTCTAGCCATGCTGGCAGCTGATTTGATTGTGCCCATCTAGATTAAGGGTGGGTCTGCCTTTCCCAGCCCACTGACTCAAATGATAATCTCCTTTGGCAACACCCTCACAGACACACCCAGGATCAATACTTTGTATCCTTCAATCTAAGCAAGTTGACAGTCAGGGTTAACCATCATAGGGGGCTATACATCTTTTCTCCTAGACTACATACTTTTCCTTTTGTATGCCATTAAGGTGCATCAAAGTTTGATGGTATTGTCAGACCATGAAGAATGGGAAGCTACTAAGTCTCAGTGTGAATCTACTGGCTCACTGTCTTTTGTACCCAATAGTCATCTCAGCACCCAGGAGCAACTTATACTATAGTAAAAGGCAACAGTCCATTACTCGGAACCTGAATGGGGATGCCATCTCTGCAATGCCTGGGAGGTTTCCTTTTATGCACACTTAGACATGGCTGGGCCTATCATACCAATAATATTCTGTTTCCCTAATTACCAGTACATGTAAAATTTTTTTTCTTGAAACAAAAGCAGAATACAGGTACAAGGAATAAGGAAAACAAGAAAGAAAAAAAAAGATACATTTTTTCCAATTAAAAGATTCCAAATTATTTTGACCCAAAAAAACACTTTAGATTATTATCCCATCATAAAATGCTCTGTAAGCTTTATGATTTTGAAGTGTTATTAATCTTCTCTACAACATACTCAGGAAATTTAGTATACAAATAGATTTTATCACAAATGCAATAATGACCACATTCACATCAAGAAATGCCATATGAACCCTATTTAATATGGTAGCAACTTTTACACTCTCCCTTCTTCTCAGAATAGACTGTGGCACATTTCAAAATAGATTCCCTTTAGTTCATGACTTGTTCAGTTGCAAATTCATGTAAGCTACAGAACCAGTTTGGCACCTGCTGTGATCATGAGTCTACTGCTGTTTCTCTAATCAGAAAACATTCCTATTAGATAAACCATCTGGCTTGAAAAGCATCCCTTTTGCATTCAAAATGATTTTGTTAGAATTCAGCCAAAGTATATTTTAAAAGGAAAGATGTGTCAGCAAGACCAGTCTGTTTACTAATGGAACGATCCTCTATTAAAATGCCATTTGTGGGATAAAAGCCATAAAATGAAAATATTATACAACATGAACATATTCTAGCTACATGTAAAAATGTGGGTAGTGCCAACCTTTGTCCAAGGCTATACATTGAAATCTGTTGAAATTTAGCTAGTCATGAGCATCATCAGATCAGAGCCAACTAAATAGCATGTTATTCTAATTGCAATGATTTCCATTGAAGTGTGATTATATAAATGTTGCTCTGAGACCATTAGTATTACCTGTGGGTAGTAGGGTACCACTTGGTTATCTACTGAGTAATGTTTATTCTTGTAGTTGTGAGTCACTTTTATTTATATTCATATTCTTCAAGCTATATATATTTTGTACATTTAGTCAAATAGCAATAACAATGTAATATAATTTTAAGAATAATTCATAGGAACACAAAGTATCTAGCCTTAGTATTTTTAGTAAATTTGGGGCAATATGATGATAAATATTTTATTTTCTAATCGGGCACAACTAGCAGGGAAAAAGGTGGTTGAAGCATGTTGACTCAAAGTTAATTAAAGCTTAATGGTCATTAGACAAAATGGATGCTGAAATAAATGTGGCTTGTTAATCTCTTCTCTTCAATTAACATGTTTATCAAAATTTTTTTTGTATGAACACACTTGCTAAAACTTTCTTAATTACATTTCGAAAACTAGAGACGTGATTCTTTCCTTCAAAGAGCTTTCCTCTATTTGAAGAAGCAAGACTAATATATAAAATACCTAGTAATGAAGGAGAACCTCTGAATTTTTGAGATTTGATTGATAATACCATAGAGATCAGAAAAAAATCCAAATAGATGACATAGGATTTAAGCATTGTTTTAGTTGACAAGTTATTGTTAGAAGAATAGTTGGCAAAAAGGCAAGATACTTGAGAGAACACAGAGAGAATAGCAGAAGTGTAGATTATGGGTAAAAAGATCTATATAGCATGCAATGGCATTTGCAGTTGGAAATGTCAAAGTTAAGGTATTGATAGCTATCCAGAGTTCTTGTAATGCGAGTCTAATAATTTAATACTTGCGTATATAAATCAATACTCTCATTGTTTTGGTTTTATTTTTTCAATTGGATTGTGAACTCATCCACCGGGCATATGTTGTACTTGAGTAATTTATCATGTCTCATATCTTGCAGTGTTCACAAGACATTTTCTGAAAGAAAGGACGTTTAAATGGGTACATAATAAATGCTAATTACATGATTGCCTTTTGTGATTAAAATACTGCTGTCATTTTCTGCTTAAAAATCCAAAATCTTTTTTATATTGGCAATGCCTGGAGGGAGGGAAGTAACTTTGTTGAATTAATGTAAAGTTTGATTATTGCTAAAATGAAAGAAATAATAAGAATAAAATTGGAGAATCCTAACAACCTACACAAATCATCTTTTTCATCCTCCTTTGTTATAATTTTCCTTTTTTGCTTGCTTTAAATTCCCACCATTGAAATAGCTCTTTTGGAAAGTACGGTGGATATGAAATTATTGCCTTCAGGAAGATACTATGAACACACTATGTATTATTTGGAACTGTTATGTATTATCTGGATCTAGAAATAGGTGCTAAAATACTTTGCCGTCACACTACTAACAAGGACTTTTTCATCAGATTTGGTAGCTAACAACTTTGAAAGCAGAGAGGAGAGTTTTGTTCTGAAAGAAAATGTTGAAATACAGTCAAATTTCAGTAGGAAGGGGAAAAAACCCATTATCTATTTCTAGGACTTGGGAAAAAGCACCATAATAATCAAACATACAGAAAGACAAACTATATCAAAACATATCTACCTGCATATTCTATGTGTGTGTGTGTGTGTGTGTGTGTGTGTGTGTGTGTGTGAGAGAGAGAGAGAGAAAGGGTATATGTATGCTTACATGCAGGTGTGTGAATGTGTGTATAAGTACACACTGGTATGTGTTATGTAGAAGTTTTGTCGCTTATAAATAAAACAGAAAAAGTAAAAAAAAAAACCTGAAATAATGAATAATTATTTAATCTCAATTTAAGCATTTTCTACCAAGGAGTACTCAATAAAATTATTTAACAAGAAAAACCTATTTTTGATAAACATTTAGATTAATAGAACTGATATATACCATTTATTTATCATTTATATATTCCAGGTACTGTGACAAATGTTTTCACATTCACAGTTTATAATTTATTTCTCACTTACTCTTACATGGCTTTTATAGACAAAAAAAACCTGCCACACGAAGCTCCAGTAGCTTCCACAATGCCATAGAACAGGACCTATGAATTCCATCATTATGTATCCCAGATGCACATTGATGCAAGTCAATAAACAAAGGAGGAAATGAGTGATACTCCCAGTATTGTTTTTATTGTGGTGGTTCGTATTTCCAGAACTAGCAGTGTTTCAGATCCTGATCCTCATAAGGTTATGCTGAACAAGTGTTTCCACTTCAAGGATGAGAATCCAGTTTGATGCACGACTTCATGAAAGATTTCAATAAACTCAGAAGTATGGACCTAGCTCACTGCTATTAATTAGAGCCATTCAAGCTTCAGGGACTAGCTAAATTTATATTTACTCCATCTCTTTTTGACATAATCAGAAAGATCCAACAGTAAGTTTCTGATCATGCCAAAAAGAAATAAACTGTATATTAAATTTTTCGTAAATGAACAATTGAATAATGGTATGTTTTAACCATGGTTATATATTTGTGTGTTCTTTTAGTAGAGTAGTACCACAGTGTCTGGTATTGACACCTGATTTTGAATCCCAGCTCTGTCACTTACTAGCTGTGGGACCTAAGATAAGTCACTTAACTTCTCCATGCCTTGGTTTTCTAATCAGGGGTTGGTTTCAGAATTAAATCTATTAGAACAGTGCCTGAAACATAGTAAGCACTATCATTAGCTGCTATTATTGTGGCATTTATGTAGATATTCTTAAATAATGAGATAGATAGATATGCTGCTTATTTTAAATTACTGACTTTTAACTGTGAAAAGGTGACATCAGATGAAGAATGGAGAAAAAGTATTTCCTCTATCTAAACATCTCTGGAAATTCTAGGTCCTTTCCTTCCTCCACCTATTCTGCCCACATTGAGATGATGCATATTGCCTCCTAGTTGAGAATTATTAAGTTCTGTTGAAATAACTTACTTACAGAACTGTTTTGTGAATGTGAATGGTGTGGTGGCTGAAAATGGTTGGGAAGCATTGATTGAAGTGTTAGGGCACATGATCTTAATTGCCTGAATAATAGCTTTAATTTCACTCTGCTTTTGTGACACAAGCATTGAACCTAGATGTAGAATGTAAACCTATCCATAGTGAGTGTAATATCCACTCCAAGTGACCTTGAAATGAATCTCTAAGTCAGATACTGTTTGCATAGCAAAGTGCAAGAAAAAAAATATGCCTGTCTCAAGGAACAGGTATATTCTCTCGGTTCTTGGGGGTTTATTTATTTTTGTGGGTTTCTTATTATTTGTTTTTGTTTTTTCTCTGTCACTAGAATATAAACTCAATGAGAATGAGAATTTTTTAATGTTTATTCACTACCTAGAATAGAGTCTGGCATATGTAGTTATTTCAATAAATATTCACTGAATGAATAAATGAAGTACTTTTTCACACCTTGAAACAAAACATTATATTGTGATAACATTAAACAAGGTCCTAGTATATATTTGTTGTTTCAATTTTATAAACATCAGTTGTACTTCTCCATTAACATGACACTTATAGTATTTTTATTTTTTCAATTTTAGTTGGCAAAATTGGTCCTGCAACAAATTATTTTATAGATATTCTTTTACTACATCTTGATAACTTGCAGATATTCCCACAGTATCAGAAACTGAAAAGTATGTTTTTCACTGTGTGGTTACATTTAAATTGTCCACATTAACCACCATGAGGAAAATAAGCTTTTAGAAAATTTTTCTTCTTTTAGCCAACAAATTCCTAAAGGTAGTAGTTGATATATTTTGCAGTGTTGAGTTAACTTGTCAAGAACACAAATTACAAACTGATTTGTGCTTTCTTGATAATCTTAATGTAGTTAGGCATAATGCATGAATATGTAATAGTGTGCGGTCGAAGGAAGATGATGGGTTGAAGGGAACTGGGGACTTCTCTAATTTTCTCTCCAGGCAGTGTTTATCACAAATATTTCCAAACAAATGGCCTTCTTTATTTGCTAGCTTGGTGAAATTCTTGCCTACAGTTTCATAGAGTATGGCATTGTCAACTTCCTGGAAATATCTGTCCACCATAAACTATTTCCACATATTTTTAAGTTTGAAACCACCATTACAAGTTGTTGCTCTCTTTTACATTCATAAGGGTTTAATTTTTGGATTTTTTTTCATTATAATTCCAGTTAGAAATAGCCTAGAGTCTGTGTGTTGTTTATTCATACCAAATAGTTGGATTTACATACATGAGTTATGTTTGTTATTTCTTTCAACCAGTACCTTCGGATCTTCCTCCAATATTAATTTTAGCTTCTAAAAATATATTTTTTAACTTTCTATTTTCTTTGTGACTCTGTTAGTCAATCAGACCATCCATGTTTACCCATTTCTTCAGTACCTTAAACATGAGAGGGATTATTTATTTTCCTTATACTCCCTCTCTTTTTTTATTTTCCTCACCTGACACTTTCAATTTACCAGGAAAACATGAAATGGATTTATTTTTAAATCCGTTCACTTCTCTTTCTCTCCAAAGCACTTGGATTGCTGCATAAACTGCTAAAAGACTCTCCTCTTCTCACTTAAGTCCTCTACATGATTTATTCTTTCAGAAGTGAATGTTTAGAAGAAAAGTAAATTCTATCAGGCTGCAACGAAGCACCATATTGTAACATAGCATGTCACGGCCCTTAGTCCATGCTCCGTGTTGGAACCATCAAGGACTATGGAAACTGACTCCACCAACTTATTTAACATTGGTTTTCGTTTTGTCTTCTGCTATTCCAAGGTCATTTTCAACTTAAGGCCTTTTACTTCCTTCCACTTTGCCCAGTTCTGGCTGGCTGCCTTCTCATGATTAGGTTTTTGCTCATGTATCACCTCCTTAGAAATAATAGTTCTTAACTTTCTATTTAAAATATTATCTTGCCATGTCATTTTCCTCAACAGACAACTCTTTTCCTCTTATTTATGTTTAACAACACTCTGAGTTTGTATACCCTCTTCGCATAGCTACATGTTTCAGAGGATGTGAGCTCAATCCCCATTAGTCTAAATCTGATGCACTTCATTATTCATAAGTCTAACCCTGAAGTTTTCAACCAGTGCAAGAGCTCCACACACAGAAATTCTGGTATAGATCTGAAGTTTTAAAATTTTTAGAAACTTCTAATTTTCTAAAACAGTTTTTTTTTGTTTTGTTTTTGTTTTTTTTGTTTGTTTGTTTGTTTTTTTCTTCAATAAGATCTCATTCTGTCACTCGGGCTGGAGTACCAGGGTGCAATCATGGCTCACTGCAGCTTTGACCTCCCTGTGTTCAAGTGATCTTTCCACCTCAGCCTCCCAAGGAGCTGGGGCTACAGGTGGGCACCACCACACCAGCTCATTTTTTTTTTTTTAATTTTTTATAGAGACTGGGTTTCACTATGTTGCTCATGCTGGTGTCAAACTCCTGGGCTCAAGCCATCTGCCCACCTCGGCCTTCCAATTTCTGGGATTACAGGTGTGAGCCACCACATCCAGCTCAGTTACAGTGCTTTGAATAAACTTTGAGTGATGTGGTATAAAAATGGGCATGGGTTGTCCTTTGGTAAATGAGACATGAAAGAAAGATTGCTGATGAGATTCTGAGAAATGTTCTTTGTCTTAAAAGGTGAGGATGGGGAGGTGTCAAACAAGACCTAACCTCTCAACAATCAGCTGGACACTGTTGTGTAAGAATGTGAAGCTTGGCACTGCTGCAGCCATCTTGTTCCAGGAAGGGTAAAACCTGAGGTTAGAAGCCAACATCCTAATGATGGCAGAGAAGACAAAGAGAACCAGAGTCTAAATGACATTGTTGAGTTAGATCACTACACTACCTCTAGTCTTCTTTTTATGTGTGATAATAAATCTCACTTATACTTAAGCCATTTGAAGTTGAGTCTAATGTTCATTTCAGACCAAAGCAGCTTAACTGACATGTTCTCCGCTTTGTTACCCTATCCAGTTGTTTTCATGCAGGAAATAAATCTCAAATTACCTCATTTATGAATTTGCCTGTTTTTGTCTTTCCCTACTTTAAAAAAAAACATCTATTTTATATTTATTCTGACTTGATGCCTAGAATGGTGTTTATCACATAGCAGATAGTGAATATATAAAGGTAAATGTAGAGTACATTAAAACAGTCAAATTTATCTCCTTAGTATCTAAAGGTAAACTTTCTATGCTCACTTACTATCAAAACTTTAATTTATTAGCTCTTTCCAGGAACACTTTAATATTCTTTATTAAAATATCTCTTTCTACAGTTTCATACTCCACCAATGCATCTTCCACATTGCTGATAAAGCAGCAAAGATCTTGCTTAAAATTTTTCCGTAGCGCCCATCGTATGTAAAAAAAAAGTCTTCAAATGCTATGGCATGACAGACATCAGGCATCTATCTGCTCATCCAGCTTGCCTGTTTCCAGTCTGTACTGCAGTCATACCAAAGGTCTCAAGTCTCTCTCAAAACACTGTGTGTAGTAGGTAGACTAAAATGGCTCACAAGATGCCTACCCCTTTCTGTGCACATGCTGCATAATTTCCTTCCCTTGAATGCGAGTTGTCTTGACTCAATCAAGTGAGTCCTTTGGAAAGAGGATGCGAAGGTCAGAGATGAAAGAAGCTTGAGATACTCCAAGCTGCACCAGATGCCTTCTTGGCCACAGAAGACTTCACTCTATAACCACAAGTCACTGAATTCATCAAACAATCTAAATAATTTTGGAAGCAGATCCTAAACTCCAGATAAGAACACCAGCCAGGCTGATACTTTACTGTATTTTTGTGAGATACCAAGGAGACACTGCAGCTGAGATATACCCAAAATTCTGACCTGCACAACTATGAGATAATATGAGTGTTTTTTTAAGCTGCTAGGTTTGTGACCATTTGCTATGCAACCATAGAACACTAATGCATAATGCTTTCTCAATTCTCCTTGCCTTTCATTTGTTATTTCTTCTCATTTCAGCTCATGTCTTCCCATCCTTTCGCCCATCCTTCAAGATCCAGCTCATGCATTACCTCCTTCAGAAATCCTTCCACTGCAAAACACTTCTTCTAACCCTAGATAGTTTCCTTCCCCCGTGCCTTATTCTCCCTCTCAATGTTTTTCATTGTTCTGACATTTCCACTTTCATATACCAATAGGAATATTAGAGTAGGAGGAATAGTCTCATCTTGAACTGAAACTATGACCCCTCTCTTGGAAGAATCAATATCATACTGGAATCAGATTATCAGGAGTCTCCTGATCAAGACATAACCCAAATATCCCAAAGTCATTTGATTGACCCAATATCAATGCCGCAGGTTTTTGTAAGATTGTCCTATTAATGTTACTATTATTCAGATATCTCCCCACATTAACCCTCAATTGGTTAATGAGTAAGTCCAAAGTTGACAGAAGACACAGAAGTTGATAACAAAATAAATTTTAAGAATTAACTTCTGGTTTACAATGGCATAATAATAACATTTCTGTGGTCTTTGCCTCTTCTCTCTGAAATCATTCCAAAACAACGAGAGAATTGTAAAAGAAGAGATGAAAGCACAGCTCTATCTTTGGTGAAACTAAAAACTACCTGTAGCTCTAAAAAATAGACAAATGAGGCCTGCTAAGACTAGCGAAAATAATATGATGCAAGGAAATGCTGAGAAAAGAAATCTACAGCTGTACCATAAAATAACGCTGGCATGGAGAATTCTTTAAGGTAGTTTGCCATCCTGAGGGATAAAATTGTAACTTCGGAATAAATCTCCAGAATGGTAGGATAGCTGATAGGAGCTTTTCTGGACCATTTTTAGCGTCACAGAGAAGCAAGGAGATGAGACTGCAGCAGACAGCACACGGACATGCAGAATATGCCGAAAGCATTCTGTCGTTATGGCCAGATAAAGGCGAGCCTCAGATCTGTAACAGCCCTGACACTGATGATTTCTTTCAGCTGGAAGAAGTAAAAGCTCCATCACTTTATATTTCTTTCTAGGAGTGTATGTGTGCACGTTTCTGTTTCTGTGTAAATCTTATATACACGCACATTGTTAATGATAAATAACAATGGAGACCACAGTTGAGACATATCTCAAGGCCAACTGCCTATAGCTATATAGTCAAAGCTTAAGTTATCCTGATTTTCCTGAAACCCTAGCTCTCATCATAAACCAAGAAGCCATAAACTTTATGTTCTTGTCAGCATGATTCAGTGAAATTGAACCGATCAACTATAGATCTATCAACTTAAACAGCTCAGTTTGCCTTAAAATAAATGTTCATGTATAACAGCCAATCTTAAAAAAATGCCAAATTCCTTTTTCTGAGCTTTATAAGCTGTGCCATAGTTATTGTAAGGTGAGCTTTTTAACCACTTAGTTTGGGAAATCCCAGTTTGAAAACTATTGTTTTATAATCAAAATAAGCTTGTACATTTTTAAAATTTGACTTGATGTATTTTTTGACAACACACACACAAACCTAAAACCTTGTGTTGTGAGAAATTTCTTTATAAACGAGGAAGATATCCTGGCTGTCTGTAAACTGTTCTCACTTTTAAACCGTGGAAAATCTCTACCAAGAGATGATGGCAAAAGTAGAACTTCTCTCATTCACAGGTAAATAATAATTTTAAATGTTTGGCTTATAATCTCTACAAAGATCCTATAAGTTACATAATAAATAATAGGAAAAATACAAACGGCAAGTAAGGGAGACATAGCAGAAAAATATTAACATGGAAAAGATACACAACTTTGACAAAATTACATGGAAAATGTATCCATTTAAATTAGGAGCCCAAAACAGATATAAGAGCATGAGGAAAAGGTTGGAAAAATAAATACAGTATTCTCCCCTTATCCATGGGGGACACATTCCAAAATCCCCAGTGGATGCCTGAAATCACTGATAGCACCAGAGCCTATATACACTATGTTTTTCCCTATATATACATACTTGTGATAAACTTATCTTTACAAATTAGGTACAATAAGATATTTCACCTGAGAGAAGTAAAAGTCAATAATCCCTTTCTGTCAATGTGTATTTCTTTCTAGGAGTGTATGTATGCGCATATGTTGGTGTAAATCATATACACCTGCACATTACTAAAAATAAATAAAAATGGAGGCCACAGTTTAGATATATCTCAAGGCCAACTGCCTAAAGCCATATAATCAAAACTGAAGTTATCCTAACAATAACTCATAATAAAAGAGAATGGTTTCTTCATATGCTAAGGGCAAGAAAAAAGAAAAAAATAAAAATCATGAAAATAAAGGAACAATCATAACAATATGCCGTACTAAAAGTTACATGATGTTTTTCTGTCTCTTTTTTTCTGTCTCAAAACATCTATTGTCTTGCTAAAGAAAAATGTTAGAAATTTTAATCAGAGGTCGATTGATCAAAGACCAATTCACGAATGGGACAGCCTCTGAAAAAGAATAGATTCAGAGAGACTTTACCACTGTTGCTGGTCAAAAAAAGGTTTATGGACAGAAAAAGGAAAGTGACATACAGAAAATGAAGTGACATACAGAAAGAGCCAGACTAGTTATATGTATACATTTTATATATTATAGCTTGGCTTTTGTCTTATTTGAGCACGGTTTGAACAATTGACTGCCTTTGATTTGCCAAAACGCCATGATTGGCACAAAAGTAGGTTACAGTCTGTTTACACATCAATATTGGGAAATCAATAAATGTGATTTGCTATAATTATAAAGAAAATGTCATATATATTGATATAGAAAATTCCTGTTATCAAAAACCATATCCATACTGGATAAGACTGATACATACATAGTTCCTCACTGTGTATATAGGTGAAGGCAATTATTTATATGTATACATTTTGAATACATATATGCACATACATGTGCAACACGTAAATATAATTATATGTGCATAGCATATATGTGTCTTTTACGAGCCAAAATAAGAAAATGTGTATTAAAGTTGAGAACAAAATAAACAAATTGACTATCATCACTTATGTTTAATACTTTTGTGAAGGTACTACTTAATGGAATTTACATGAGAAAGAAATGAGTTATAAAAACTTCAAAGGGGTGGCAAAGTTGAAATTATTTATAATGACATGAAGAATACTTACAAACTGTATCCTGTAAAACTAAAAAAACTATCACAAGCAATAAGATATTTCAATAAGGTAGTTGGCACAAAATCAACATCCCAAAATCAATAGCCATTATGCACACACAAAAAACTTGTCAGACGATGGAAGAACATCTTTCTTTTACTATAGCCCCAAATCAAAAAATACCTGTGAATAATCTAAACAATAAATACAGCAGCTTTTTATAATGTTACTAAAAGATCCAAAGTGAAACTTGAATCACTGGAAATAAATGCTCTATTGTTGGATACATAAGCTTAATATAAGAAGAGTCTCAATTAATAATAAATCAGTGTGCAAGCTGTGATCCTTGCAATCTACCAATAGGATATTTTTTACTAGTACTGGTGAAGCTTATTCTAAATTTCATGAGCATAAATGAATGTTTAAGATTAATTAGGAAATTATTGAAAAGTAAGAATAATCAGGTAGACTTGAAGGACCTGAAGATAGTCAAACATATTATGAAATATCATAAACCTTAATAATGAATATAATAGTGTACTAATTCATGAATAAACCAATGTTAAAGAAGAAAGAGTCTAGATATATATACAAATATGCCTGGGAATTTAGTATATGAAATATGTCATTTTATGTAAGTGAAGAAAATGTAGATTAATTCATAGACGACATTGGGAATATTGATTAGGAACCTAAAAATGAGTTGGTACTACAACTTCACTTCTTATAACATACTCAATACCTATTCAAGCTGCGATGGTTAATATTGAGGGTCAATTTGATTGCATTGAAGCATGGAAAATACTGTTTTTGGCTGTGTCTGTGAAGGTGTTGCCAAAGGAAACTAACATTTGAGTCAGTGGACTGAGAGAGGCAGAATCGCCCTCAATGTGGGTGGGCACCATCTAATCAATCAGCAGCCAGCACCACTGGAATAAAGCAGGCAGGAGAAGACAGAAGAGCAGACTTGCTGATTCTTCCGGTCTTCATCTTTCTCCCGTGCTGGATGTTCTCTGTCCCCTCGAACATCAGACTCCAAGTTCTTCAGCTTTTGGACTCTTGGACTTACACCAGTGGTTTGCCAGGAGTCGTTGGGCCTTTGGCCGCAGATTGTAAACTGCACTGTTGGCTTCCCTATTTTTGAGGTTTTTGGGACTCGGACTGATTGATCACTGGCTTCCTTTCTCCTGAACTTGCAGACAGCCTATCTTGGGACTTTACCTTGAGATCTTGTGAGTCAGTTCTCCATAATAAACTCCCTTTCGTGTATATATAAATCCTATTAGTCTGTTGCTCGAGAGAATCCTGACTAATACACAAGCAAATAAATTGAGAGGAAGAAACAGGAGAAAAAGTAGAGGAGGAAAAAGAGGAAACTATAAAATTATTAGACTTTTTTCTTTTTAATATTTCTAGAAATAGTTTTGAAATTGGGAAGACATATAAATACTTAAAAACCACAAGAACTGACACCACCAATATCAATATAATTATATTGGTTATAATTATAAATATACGTATATATATAATTGTTAGGATTGAGAACCGAGACCACCTTTGACAATGTAATTTAATTCTTTGCTCCAGAAAATTCTTACACAGGAAGTTAAGAATGAAAATCAATAAACAACTTCTCTGTTTACTTTAGGAAATGTTTGCAAATCAATTCATCTAGGCAAACAATTTGCTCACCTGGACAAACAGCTCATTTCTCAGGACAATTTGCTCATGAAGAATCGCTTTAATACCCTTCCTTAGTGCTCTGTGTCCACTAATTCCACACCTTTATGTCATAAACTTTCCCAATTCCAATCAGTTTACCACCTTGAGAACTAAAGCCATTTAAGCTTAACCCTATAAACTCGGTATACTATTTCCTCCTTTTAAGACACTACTAAGATTTTATCAAGGCTGTGTTTTTCCTTGATACACTAAGTTTATTAAATTCAACTTTGCTTGACCAATACATTTTTCTAGGAGTCTATTGTGGACTGTTGATGACACAAAGCCATTTAAAACTTTGATGTGGAAAACATCTACAAAATCAAAAGAAAAGTGATAAAGTGTGAAAAAGTATGTTGAATACTTAACATGGGCAAAATACTATTATTCTAAATCCCTTAAAGCCTTAACAAATTAATGAGAAAAAAATTTGAAAAAGTAACAGGTATGGAAAAAGTTCACATCAAATGACACAAAAACAACTTTAAAATAAGCTCAATGAAAATCATATAACCAGAAATGTGTATTAAAACTATAAGAAAATCCTATTTTTCACCTATTACACTGGCAAAGACAAAAAGTATGTAGATGTGATGAAACAACCTATTATTGTAAGGTTTATTTGGGTACAGCTTTCATGGAGCACAATATGACAACATTTATCATGATTTTTAAAATGTGAGATTTGACTAAATAATTCTAGGAATTTATCTTTCAGATCTATTTCCACAGTGGACAAATATATATGTATGAGGTAATTAATTTTAGCTCTTTTTGGATATACTGAAGAATTAAAACATCTAAAATATTCGTTATTATAATACAATAAAAAACATATTAAAGGTAACTATTGTAAAGAATACCATAGCTCAATAAGTACAAATATGCAAATTATGTTAAATTTATAAAGATGATTGTTCAGGAATGTGATTTTTATGCTTTGATTTCAGCGTGAAAACACTGATATGTTTTCATTCAAAAAATCTGTATAAAAATTGTTGCCACTGAAATTAACTAAATAAGAAGTAATTTCCACTAAAAACCCTTTTGTTTTCTCTTGTTTTTGTCCTTTTAATTTTTTGAAAATTTCTGTGTGTACATAGTAGGTGTATATATTTATGGGGTACATGAGATGTTTTGATACAGGCATGCAATGTGAAATAAGCACATCATGAAGAATGGAGTGTTCATCATCTCAAGCATTTATCCATTAAGTTGCAAACAATCTATGCTCTTTAAACTATTATTCTGCACAGCAAAGGATACAATCAACAAAGTAAAAACCCATGTGAACTCTTTGTCCAGAAATGCATATTTATTAGCTATTAGCCCTCCTTTCACTCCAATGAAATTGAAAAAGGGAGCTTTTATCAATCAAAACTCTGAAAGCAATCAAAACTCTGTAAGCCATTGGAACATTGGGCAATACTATAGGGAGACCCCCTGAAACTATTGCTACAGAATAAAATATGAAAGGGGTTGTCCCTCCAAAGCCAAGGCTCGTTGTTCCCCACTTCGGACCTGAACATTCAGAATTATGGAGATTAACCATAGCTATGACTGGTATGAGGGTTTGGGCTGGAGAAAGTGTTATAAGTAAATCCACCTTGTCACCTCGAAAACTAAGACAACAGACTGATTTACACTACTATTTCCACACGGCGAAAAATATCACTATGGCAGTTGTCAAAAGGTCAATTCAAAGATGGGACAGTAAAGTTTATGAGGACTTATACCCCCCTGTTGCTAATGTCCCCCCCACCACCTCTCATAAAACCTATTCCCCCCACCCCACATTCACAAAAAAGAGTACCATCCCAAAATATATATACTATCTATATGGAGTCTAACAAAACTATACTGCTTTAAAGTTATGTTAAAACACCATATATGTTATTAGTAGGAAAGATGCATATTAGTTCAAAAACCAACATAATTATCTGTGTTAATTGTTACTTGTATACTTGTATTGACTCATCCTTTAATCAATATCATAGTATTTTAATAGTCAGAGCCAGAGAAGGTATTTGGCTCCCCGTAGCCTTACATAGGCCTTGGGAATCTTCCCCTTCTGTCCAGGTATTAACAATATTCTATAAAAAATTCTTAAAAGGAATAAACAATTTATTTTTATGTTAATTGCAGTAGTAATGGGCTTGATTGCTATTACTGTGACTGCTGCTGCTGCTGGAGTTGCATTACATTGATCTATACAAACTGTTCATTTTGTGGATAAATGGCAAAAAAAAATTCTACTCAGATGTGGAATTCTCAGTCAGGTATTGATCAAAAATTGGCCAATCAAATTAATGATCTAAGACAAACTGTTACATGGATGGGAGACAGAATTATGAGTGTAGAACATAGATTACAAATGCAGTGTGATTGGAATACTTCTGATTTTTGTATAACTCCGTTCCAATATAATGAGTGTGTTCACAATTAGGAATCAGTAAAACGCCATTTACAAGGAAGTGAAGATAATTTAAGTTTAGACATAAGCACGCTAAAAGAACAGATTTTTGAGGCCTCTCAAGCACACTTCACTGCTTTACCCGGTGCTGAAGTTTTAGATGGTATCTCTGAGTGGTTATCTAATCTCAACCCCATCAATGGGTAAAATCTTTGGGAGGATCCACTATCATTAATTTTGTTCTGGGTATAATTTGTGCTATTGGTTTATTGTTCATGTGTACAATTGGAAAAAATATTCTTCAATCCAATCATGATCAGCACCAAGCTATGATTGCTATGGAGTTTCATTTAAATCAGAGAAAAGGGGGAGATGTAGAGAGACCCCCTGAAACTATTGCTATGGAATGAAAGATGAAATGCTCCTGATTATTATAAATACAAAATTGCATGCAGGATGGTGTAAAGACAACGCCAGGTTGGGCTGCCAGAATGAGCCGACAGCACATGATGTGCTTCCCCCTGCAGAGAGTCTAAGAATGGACGTGCAGTCAGGGAGGTTTCACATCACCAAGATTCCTATCCCAGAAAAGCAGATGTTCATAGCACTGGCAACCCTTGTGGAGAGCCTATAAATGGATGCATGAGGGGTGCCTGTTTATATGCCCTTATCTTGCCATGGCTCTTTTAAGCCTCTTTAGGGTTAAGGCATACTCCCTTCTGAGAATTTCTGGTCTAACTGGTTGTCTAGCTTCATGTCCTGTTTCTTTGATTGCTTGTAACCAGATTTTGCTGCCACTGTTACTGCTGATTAGTATCTTGCTAATCATAGGTTATGGAAAGACTGTATTTCTGTTTTAAGGCTCTGTTAGAAATTACTGATGCACACACTATATTGTAAATTCTTATCTCTGTATACTGTACTTCTGCATACAGATATTATGTTTAAGAATTACTCTATCCCCATGTGACCATTTCACCTCATAATCAAATGACCCTAAATCCCTCACTAACCTACCCCCGCCCTCACTAAACTTAATAATAAATGCTGGCATATCCAGTGCATTGGTGGCATCGCAGGACCAGAAGGCGGTGACCCCCCTGGACCCAGCTTTCACTATCTTGTATGTGTCTATTATTTCTAGACCTGCTGATCTGCCTGGGAACAAAGAAAGAGTCCCATTGCATTGCGGGTTGCTGGCCAGATCCCGCAATACAGTACTGCTTTAGAAACAAAGTAACAGAACAAAAATAAAAGGGAATAGAGTTCTCCACTTCTGTATAGTGGGTGGTGGGCAGGGGAACACTGAGATCTGTAGAGAAGAGAGGCTCCTTCATTGCATGTATAGCGGGGTGTCAGTGCCCCAGAGAAAGCAATGGTTTCCAGATGGAAGCTGATGGACAGATGCTGGAAGCATTGGCAGAGCATCTTCATGGAGGAAGCAAAGAACTTTTGTGGACACAAAAAAGGTAAGTCCCAGCAGGAAAATGCTAAGAAGCTGGACTCACCTCAAAGCTAGTCAAGACCTGCTTCTAAGCATATGTGATATTCGTTTGCAACCTTACTCCTGGAAAGCCCCTGAATCCAGGGAAGACTTGGCAGAAAACTAGAGGTTTTACAAAACCATGTTGGAATGTAATATTTAATGTTTGTGTGACTCAAGCTACTTTGTCAGGAGACAGGATCACAGCATGAGTAGGAACAAATCATAATTTTTAGCAATTTTTAACTATATATATATATCAGAATTACCTAGGAGCCAATGCTTGGGGCCAAGTCCTCAGATATTAATAGATTTTAGTATAATTAATTAAAAGTGACCCCTACAAACAAAGGAAGCAACATAAAAACTTAAGGATATTCTTGCTTCTAACCAAATGCTCAGGAGTGAGTTCCAAACAAGTGGTTCTGAAAAATTTTCCTTCATCAAGTAAGGGATAGCTAGTAATGGGAGCGACAGGAAACAGGTGGCATTTAAATGTTTAATCTGTTCCACCATTCCTGCCTGCTTATTCAGCTTCATTTTACTTTCATCTTCACTGTTGTAATCCAGCACAATACTCCTTGCTTCGGTCATACTATTCTTCTGAGTCCTTGTTCAAAGTCATTTAGCCTTCGTCACCTGCAGGGACTGTGGCTGCCAGGTGCCACTGGAGCCCTGCTTCTCAGTCTTGCTGCTCACTGGAGGAACGGCCAAGCAGCTGGATGCATCTTTTCAAAGCAGCTGGCACCACGGGAAATAGCACATACCACCACTGCTTTCAGCTTCCCTTTGCACGCCAAGTCTGCATAATACTGGGCTTAAAACAAGTACCCCAGGAGGATTATTATTAATTAGGAAAATCAAACAATAAGCCACTTGAAATCAAGTTCCTATCATGTAAATGTTACTTTACAATTGAAGCATAATATAAGGAATTGGTTGGGGTGATGGTTTTGGCCTGTAGCTAATTTTGATTTTCAAAAATTTTTTTTTAGCATTTGCTGCATTTATCACTCTTGGCATTAAAGAAAATGCTTTTAATTTTTGTTGTTTTGTAATTACTTAATACATATGTGTAGCTGTATCTTAAACATCAGTTTTCTCCAGAGACTGGATCCCTGAAAATATTTTGGAACAAGATTAAATGTTTCTATCAAACCATATTGTATTAAAAATAATGTTTTTATGCAGAAAGTGGAAGGAGAATGATGCTTATTGTTGATGTATTTTGTCTGAATCAATGCTTTAATAAGTGCTCTCCATTTATCATAGACACTACATTAACTGTTAGATCCATGTGCTGATTTGAAACACATGACCTTCTGCTACTAGGTTGAATGTTTTTCTCCCTAAGAACATGTCCACCCGGAACCTCAGAATGTGGTCTTATTTGGAAAAATTATCTTGGAAGATATAATTAATTAAGATGAGGGCCACTGGATTAGGGTACCCCTAAATTCAATGATTGGGTCCTTATTAAAAAAAAAGGAATTGAAAGACACATGGAGAAGAAAGACATGTGAAAATGGAAGCAGAGATAGGAGTGCTGTATCTCTAAGTCAAGGACTACCAAGGACTGTCGGCAACCCTCGGAGAGTAGGGAGAGTCATGAGAGAGTTTTTCCTTCAGCTTCTTCAGAAGAAACCAAGCCCACCAACACCTTGGGTTCAGAATTCTAGCCTCCATAACTGTGAAATAATACATTTCTGTTGTTTTAAAACACCCAGTTTGTGATACATTTTTATGGCAACTCTAAAAATCCAATACAGATTTTGGTAATGGGGAGTGGGGTACTGCTGTGACAAATACCTAAAATTGTGAAAGTGGCTTTAGAACTGGGTAATGGGTAGAGGCACTTGATAGAAAAAGTCTAGATTGCTTTGAAGAGAAGATTGGTAGAAATACAGATGTTAAAAATGATTCTGGTGAAGGGTCACATGCAAATGAAGAGGAAGGTAGAGAAAACTATCATCTTAGAGAATATGCATAGCATTATAAACAGTACGTTGGTAGAAATATAAATGTTAAAGGTGCTTCTAGTGAAGTCTTGGAAGAAAATGAGAAGCATGTTATTGGACACTAGAGGAAAGTGATTCTTAATTCATATTACAAGGTGGCAGAAAACTTAGATGAATTGTGTTCTAGCTGGGTGGAAAGTGGCAGTTGTAAGCAAGAAACTTAAATATTTAGCTGAAAAGATTTCTGAGCAACATAAGGAAGGTGTGACCTGATTTCTTCTTGCTGTTTATAGTCAAATGCAGGAGGAAAGATGAGGAAGCAACTCTTCAACACAAAGGAACCAGAACTTGAATTTTTGGAAAATTCTCAGCTGATCCATATTATAAAATATTATAAAGCATGTTGGGCTGGACTATCTTTTGGTGAAGAGCTTAGGTGTGACACTCATGGAGCCAATTAATTATCTCAGCAAAGACTAGGAATAGGCATGGGATTATCCAGGAAAAACTGTGGAAAATTCTTCTACCTAATAGTGTGGATCTCCTTCACATACACAGAAGGCTGGTATGCTTTTAAAAAATGTTATACCAGCTGAAATACTGCCAGCCAGACTGAAAAAGACAAAGATGGGATGAAATGAAGGAAGAATAACTTCGAAGGTAACACAGAAGATGTGGCTAGTGGAGCCTCCATCACAAAAGGCAGAGCATAGAGCCACAGAGGATAATTCTCAGGCTGTTATTTTTATATTTATTTATTTATTTATTTATCTTTTAAAATGAGTTTTATTTTTAGTTGGTGTGTAATCATTGTACATATTTATGGGATACAAATGGACATTTTGATATATATATATAAAATGTGTAATGATCAAATCAGAGTAATTAGCATATCCATCACCTCAAACATTTATCATTGTTTTATATTGTGAACATTACATATAATCCTCTCTTCTATCTTTAAAAAAAATACACAATAACTCATAGTTAAGAATATTCACCCTACAGTACTGCAGAACATCAGTACTAATTCCTTTTATCTAGCTATAATTTTGTATCCATTAACCAACCTCTCCCTATCCTCTCACCCTCCTACATTTCCCAGCTTCTAACGCCCAAAATTCTCTCTCTACTTCAACGAGCTCAAAAAAATATATTTTTTATCTCCCACGTATGAGTGAGAACTTGCCGTGCCTGACTTATTTTGCTTAACATAATGTCCTCCAGGCTCATCTATGTTGTTGCAAATGACAGAATTTCATTTTTTATGGCCGAATAATATTCCATTGTGTGTATATACATTACATTTTCTTTATCCATTCATTTGTTGAGGGACATTATGTTCATTCTACATATTAGCTATTTTTTTGATCTTTTTAAAATTTTACTTTAAGCTCTGGGATGCATGTGCTGAACATGCAGGTTTATTACATAGGTCTACCTAATGAGATTTGCCCTGATGAGTTGTGAACTCACTTTAGATCAGTGACCCTTTTATTCCTCTCTATTGTTCCTTTCAGAATGGTAACATCAACTGTATGGCTGTTCCACCATTGTATTTTCAAAATAGACAACTTGTTTTCTGGTTTTACACATCCATAGGAATTTTGCCTCAGGATAGATTATAGCTAGAGTCTCAACATCTCTTGATTAAGGTAATTTTTTTTTTTTTTTTGAAACAGGGTCTCACTCTGAAACCCAGGCTGGAGTGCAGTGGCATGATCTCAGCTCACTGCAGTCTCGGCCTCCTGGGTTCAAGTGATTCTGGTTCCTCAGCCAGCTAAGTAGCTTGGATTACAGGAGCACAGGACCACGCCTGGCTAATTTCTGTATTTGTAGTAGAGGGAGGGTTTCTCCATATTTGCCAGGCTGATCTTGAACTCCTGACCTCAAGCGATCTGCCTGCCTTTGCATCCCAAAGTGCTGAGATACAGGCGTGATCCACCATTCCTGGCCGATTAAGGTGATTTAAGTGATGAGATTCAGAACTTTTTGAGTTAATAATTTTGGATTAGAATTAATGCTGGAATGAGTTTTAGGGATGTTGTGATGGAGTGACTCTTGCAAATGAGAAGATGTGAATTTGGGGGAAAAAAGAGGATGAACTATGTTTGATTGAATAATGTCTCCCCAAAATTCTCGTCCACGTGTAACCTAAGAATGTGACCATATTTGGAAATAGGACCTTTGCAGATGTAATTGATTAAGATTAGATCATACAAGATTGAGGAGATCCCTAAATCCAATGAATATTTCTCTTACAAGAAGGTCATGGGAAGATATGCAAGGAAGAAGTCCATGTGAAGACGGAGGCAGAGATGAGAGTGATTTACAAGTATCTACAAGCCCAGGAACACCAAGGATTGCCAGCAACCACCAGCAGCTAGGAGAGAATGCATGTGAGTTACTCCCTCAGAGGCTCCAGAAGGAACAAATCTACTGACGCTTGGATTTCAGACTTCTAGCCTCTATAACTGTGACAAATAAATTTCTGTTGTTATTATCTGCCCAGTTTGTGGTACTTTGTTATGGCAGTCCTAGGAAACTAATACATCCCGTTAAAGAAAATATGCAATATAAGGACATTTTATATTCAGTTTAACTGTACTGTAACACCAACATTTTTGCCTTTGCTGACTAACATTACTGAAAGCAACTAACACTTGTTGAACATTTACAAATTTCTAAGCAATATACATTAATAATCCTTACAATTACTGAAGAATTGGCGTTATTATTTCTAGCTTGCAGATTAAGATATTTTTGTGAAAAAGGGGCAGGAGTCTGACGGTACTAAGTAGGAGAGCCAGTATGTTAATTAATTTCTATTTAATTCCAGTGTTCATCATCTATCTATTAATTTACAGTGAGAGTAAAATGAATTATTCTAACATATAACAAAATTTTAAATCACACTGAACAATAGAAAGAGCATTTACCCTTTATCAGTGTGCAATCTATGTGTATTTAATTTTCTTCTCCAAGCCTGCTAGGTGTTGCCCATTGTGTCATCAATCAGGATGAGTTTACAAATTCATTTAGAAGTACAGGCACATTCAAGTGTGCCATATAGTCAATTTCTTTTTCAATGAACGTTCTCTTTGACACCTCAAAGCTTTTATGTTTAAGCAAGCCTAATGACAACACCATTACTTCAGGTATTGACCAAAACTTGTACACGGAAGAGCAATAGAGAGGTTCTCCTAAACATGCCATTACAAAGTGGAAGCAGCTGAACAAATTCATCACTCTTTCAAGTAGAGTTTTCCCTTTACCTGTGAACCTTAATTATAGACTGACTTACAGCAAAGTAATACTTACTTTTTTAATAGGAACATCTGTTATAATAATGGGGCCAGCAATAGTGGCATGACAGTTCATTAAATGTATAAAAGAGTGTTTGGTTTGAGAATAGAGAGTGTGTGGCTCATCTGAAACTTAAGCGGCATCCAACACTGGGATTTAGACCTACTGGATATTTCAGGGGGATTTGTGTATCAGAAGACTTGATATGACTTTTGAGTGAGAATTTATTTTAAGGAATGAGAAGGACATAGGAACAGGCCTCCTTTATTAACAATACTTTAGTTTTAAGAGGAGAGGTGTGTTAGTCTGCTAGGGTCATCATGATAAAGTACCAAAAACCGGGTGGTTAACACAACAGAAATGTATTTTCTCACAATTCTGAAGGCTGGAAATCTGGGATGAGTATTTTCATAGGCTCTTCCTTCTTTATATGACTATGACAAAATTTCCTCTTCTGATGAGGACACAAATCGTATGGCATTAGAGCCCACCTTAGTGACCTTATTTTAACTTAATCATCTCTTTAAATACCCTATCTCCAAATATAGTCACATCTGAGGTAACCAGGGGCTAGAACATAAATATAAGAATTTTGGGGGAACACAATTCAGCCCATAGCAGAAAGGATGAGTCTAAATGCAATATTGTATGTACAGAAACATTAGTCACTATCCCAAATGCCCATACATTTATGTCTATTTCCTCTGGAGGGGTTGAGGGAGGTAGACTATGAAGTATCATAATAACTGTCTGATAAATCCTAATAGCAAAAGTGGGAGTCATTCTTCACATCTGCATTGAGCAAAGTGCCCATGAAGAATCTACTAGGTTGAGTGCTAAAAATACTGAAGGAGTAAAAAAATTTCTGTTGACACCAGCAAGAACTTGTTCCCAAATGTTTCTTCCTGTACATATTCCTAAATTCGATTGATAAAAAACTGCTAACCATAAACTCAGTCCTGCTGTTCTCGCATCTTCTCCCATGATTAACACATTCTCAATATCCTCACACCTTTTAGGACTTTGAATAGTTAAAACTCACTGAAAAAACTGTACTTTTCCTGACCATCCTCAATTTTTCTTATAAAGCCTTTAAACTTCTTGCTCTCCATAAAACAGTCATGACCCATTCCCATGTTTCCATGTTATAAAAAAGTTTCGAGCTAATGACTTTTTTTTTTTTTTCTACAAAACCACATTGGCTCTCTGAGATATCCTTTGGATCAGAGATAGAAGTTCCTGGCAGAGGAGGACACAGTGAAAAACCCACAGAAGATGTGACAGTGCCAGTGTCAGCGGTAGAAATTGGGAAAGGTGATTTCAATGTCTGGTGGTAACAGCCATGGGGAACAGGGTGTAAATTAAAATGCCTTCCTGCAGTTTTAAAACAGAGTGATCTTAGCCGTGGACATTTCTATGGAAAGTTGAATCTGGAGATGAAAAGGAGGGCAGGATCCGTGTGTTCCTAAGTATATATAAAGCAGCCTTTGGGAATATATACATGATTTAGGAAGCTTTAGCAGGGACTGAGGTCTCAGTGACAGCAAAGTGAGGAGACAATTGAGATAAATGAGTTGTTATTATTGATTGGGCCCAGGGCAACAGCTTTGAATTATTCCAGTGAATGATGCATTCTGGAGTTGTGTTCCAGTGGGAGTCATTCACACCCTATTTTGCAGAAATTGTCCTGCCTGAAACAGTGAAAATGTTCATGTCTATGAATAATGATGCAATTTTAGGTCCTAATGTGGGTTAGCCTAAAAATTACTTAGATGTGCATATTAATTTGCAGTTTACAAAGTATTTTCAAATATATAATTATATTTTTATATTTTTTCCTTATAAATGATATTAGGTAAATATTATATTGTTCATATCTAATGAATAAGGAAATTGAAGGGTCATTTCGCTGTTTCTCTTATAACACATTGTAATTGCACAATTCTTAGCACATAGTAAGTGCTCAACAAATATTTCATAACCATGGAATCATTCATGCATAATATAGACTTGCAAAAATATGTGTTCCATACAGATTTAATTGTGTTAAAATAGATGCTTCATCTATTTTATGACAACTGTACTCATGGTCAGCCTCATCAGTAAGAACAATAAAGATTTGCCTGTGTTTTGCAATTTCATAAAGACAGGAAAGACTTCCACGTTCCCAAGATACTTATGGGAGCCAGATAGTCAATTAAAGATGTGACATAATTTAGTAACACACTCAACTGTAAATAAATAATATTGATTTTTTTTCCTTCTAGAAGAATGATAAGAGGAAAAAAATTATAAAAGGACCTCCTCATCTCAAGATGAAAATCCATCTATTTATTTAACACATGTGTATTGAGCACTTAATACTATTCTTGGTGCTGATGAATCAGCAGTTGGAGGAAAAATATCTCTCCACTTAGAGAGCTTAGATTCTGTATTTAATTACCTCTCTTTAGGGTTTGCATTACAGTGATTTAACTTTGGAAATTATTATCTAGTTACTTCTATGATTTTATAGTGGAAGATAGTATATGAGTCATGACTTGTCCCCTTGCAAATGATAGAATCTGAACTAAAATGGGCTTTAAAAAAAGAATGTATTGGGCAAACATGGCTGAATATAGAAATTCATATTTAATCAAGTCTTATTTATATTAATATATAAATTTATATTAATTAAAATAACATTAATTCATATTAAATCATTGTCTTTCCCATTATCTATTATATTTTCCTTAGCATTGCTCTTATTTGCTGACCTGCTGTCCACATTGGGAATTTCAAACTTCTCCGGGGTTATATTTTACTAGTTTAGTTACTCCAGGGGAAACAACATCTCTTTTCTATAGCTCTAAAACAATGTTTCAGGTATGACTGTTACTGGTCATAATTGGCTTATTCGTTCATTCATGAACAAATCACTGCCATACAGGCTAAAGCTTCATCTGTTAAGCCAGTAACAGGGACTTATCGTCATCTAAACATTAACTCCTGAAAAATTAAACCTATTTTCCCCAAAGAAAAATCATGTTTTGGCTTGGCATGGTGGCTTACACCTGTAATCCCAGCACTTTGGGAGGCCGAGATGGGCAGATCATGAAGTCAAGAGTTCGAGAACAGCCTGGCCAACATGGTGAAACCTGTCTCTACTAAAAATAAATAAATTAACCAGGTGTGGTGGTGGGCACTTGTAATCCCAGCTACTCAGGAGGCTGAGGAAGGAGAGTTGTTTGAACCCAGAGGAACCAGAGGTTGTAGTGAGCTGAGATCGTGCCACTACACTCTAGCCTGGGTGACAAAGCAAGACTCCATCTTGAAAAAAAAACATATGTTTTATTACCAAAATAACATTGGATTGGATGTTGCACAGCCAAAAGGAATAAAACCACATTTAAGCATTCAATGCATACTGAAATTCAGTGACTTTTCACAGAGAAGTTAAGTGACTTTAGAAATAAAGCCAAATTTGGTCCTGAGATTCCTGAGTCTTAGGCCAGAATTTTTCAATTATACTTCACGGTCAGTTTTTATTATGGAGAGTAAGTAAGATCATGAGCTTAATCGTTCTTTGAAAAAGTAATAATGTGCTGAATAAATGGTTATTACATATAATCTCTAGGCAATATTCTTGAAAGCTCCAGATGTCCTGATTTAATTTGTGCATTTACAATTTACTTAATCTGGAGAGAGATATTATTTAAGTTATTTGGAAAATATGCATTAAGTGGATATTTTATTTAATGGGTCTTGCTAATGACCACTTGGAAATGATAATAATCTTTTGGTTTAAGACAATGAGATATTTTCTCTAAAGGCTGAGAAGTGTTTGGTCAATGTGTCTATCCCAATAGGGACCTCTTATGTCTTTATAGTGTTCACTTGGTCCAGTCATTCAGCTCTTTCTAGACTCTGAGCATTATCAAACTTCAGGATCAACTCCCTGGCTTGAGAGTGGATGCCAGTAACTCTTTCCCAAAGCTTCTGACCTCCTTTTTTTCCTAGGGGAAATCATTCCTTTTTTATTGCTTTCTCTGGAGGAACCACATCTCCTATCTCTTTAAAAAATATATCTTCTTTTCTGGCAAGAGACATTTATGGCCTATTAAATCCAAATTTGGAAACATTGATGACCTTAAAGCTAGCTCTTTTCTTTATAAAAGGGAAGACTTAATATTTAAAATTTCTGCAGAATGAGGAGACATTTTTTGTTTTATCTTTTTCAAGACAGAAAAGCAAAGAAAACAATATAGCTACATTTTCAAATTAAAACTGCTTAAAGTATCCAGGCACAATTGCATGTTATAGTTTTTGAAAAATATAAGCAATTTTTATTGTAAATTAAGAGGTTTTTAAGAAATATACCAGAAGTTTAACATTTTAACATAAACATATCCCTTATAAAATATTTATATAATCAAATAATTAATCTAAAGGAAATACCACTTGAACAATTATTCTTGTTATATATAACTAAACCTTGACAAGCCAAAACTTTAATGAAGTCAGCAATTGAGTTCTGAATATTTAAAACTGGAAGTGACATTGAAAATTGTCAGGTCTCATAATAAATTTTAAAGGTCAAGAAATTAAAATAATGAAGTATGTACTTAAAGATATCAACTTTTCTGTTATGTTACAGTATATATACTGTTCAAGTTTGTTTAAAGTATTTAACTATTATATGCTGTTGTTTTGTTAACTTGTTTCATTTTTCCTAAAAATTAATTAAGATCGTATAATTGTTTAAAAAGTATATATTGTATAATGTAAAAACTTCAGTTTTCTAGAAATTGTTTCCTTCATTTTTTTGAAGAAATCTTCCAATAGCCACAGCATTTATTTTTAAAAATTTTCTAACTTTTATTTTAGGTTCAGGGATACACATGCAAGTTTGTTGCATGGGTAAACTGAATGTCACAGGGGTTTGATGTATAGATTATTTTGCCACCCAGGTAATAAGCATAGTACTCAATAGGTAACTTTTTGATCCTTACTCTCCTACCTCCCTCCACCCTCAAGTAGACTCTGGTGTCTGTTCCCTTCTTTATGTCCAATGTTTAGATCCTACTTATACATGAATATATGCAGTATTTGTTTTTCTGTTCCTGCCCACACTGTATAGTAAGTGAAAGTGGAAGGAGCTAAAACTCAAACCCCAAGATGGATAGAAAGAATGTTCACAGCAGTGGATATTCATCAGGGAAGGAATCCAGGTGAAAGTAAATAAAAGCTGTTTCTAACAAATGATGTCATTCCTGCACCTCAAAAGAGCCAACAAAAATTACTCTTTGAAGGTAAAATAAACTATTTAATATCAAAGCATGAAGAAACTAAATGTCTTCACCACAATAATAGCATCAAGATGGAACCAGCTAGAAGAGAAGACAGGATTAAATGAAAAATTATATGTGTAACCTTAATCAAAGGAAATAGCTTGCTCTGTGAGAATGAAAGAGAAGAAAATGTTTGTATTTGGTGGTGAGGGTAGGGAGGAAAGAACTATACTGTTGCCTATTGTCATTGACAAAGAAAGAGTAAAGGCTCAAAAAACTCAAATGTGAAATCCTGGATCAGAGGCAAGTCTTGTTAGCCTGAACCACATTCCTGCACCACCTGCTGAAATATGAACTTCCTGTAAAAAAAGAGTTCCAGAAAAATAGGTGGAGGAAGGGCCTAAGATTTAAAACAATTAGGCTGTAACTATACTTATTATACTATATCATTACTATTGGACAAGTAAAACATCTTATGCCTGAATATTTATTTTTGGATTTTAATAATTAGATACAAATTTTTATCACTAGATAATGGTGAATGTAACTTCTGAAGGCCTTCCTTACTGAAGATAAGAAAATCTGGACCAAAAAAATCAAACAAATAAAGATCTACTTGAAGATATTGAAGAATTGACACTAAAGTAAATAACTACTGGGCCATTCTTCTAAGGAGGGTGAGTTTCCAGGGATGTGTACCCTTATATTGGGGGCACCTTTTCTCCAAAAAACAATTGTGAATTGTAGAGGTGTTTAAGGGCACATTTGATCACGCTTGTGCCTATAAGGGCAAGGAGTCCAGAAGCTGACAAGTGGGATCCTTACTTGTCTAATTCTTACTCTTACTTTCTGCATAAGCCTCCAAAGACACCCACTAAAGATTATAGGAATAACTTGAAGATATTACAGTTTTTATTCCAGACCACCACAATAAAGTGAATATTGCAACAAGGCAATTTACATGATATTTTTGTTTACCAGGACACATAAAAATTATGTTTACACTGACTGCAGTTTATTAAGTGTGCAATAGTATTATGTATAAAAACAATGTAAATATTTTAATTAAAAATACTTCATTGCTAAAAATGCAAGTGATCCTCTGAGCCTTTAGTAAGTTGTAATTTATTGGCAGTGGAAAGTTTTGTCTTGATGTTGATGGCTGCTGACTGATCAGGGTGGCGATTGCTGAAGGTTGAAGTGGCTATGGATATTTTCAAAAATAAGACAACAAAGAAGTTGTCTGCATCAATTGACTGTAACATGAGATTTCTATGTAGCATATGATGCTGATTGATAGCACTTTAACCACAGTAGAACTTCTTACTAATTCCTTTTTTTTGGGAGAGAATATCACTATGTCTCCCAGGCTGGAGTGCAGTGGTGCAATCATAGTTTACTGTAACCTCAAACTCTTGTGCTCCTGCAGATCCTCCTGTTTCAGCCACCAGAGTAGCTAGGGCTACAGGTATGTACCACCATGCCTGGCTCATTAATTTTTTTTGTTTGTTTGTTTTTAGAAACCAGGTCTCATTATGTTGCCCAGGCTAGTCTCAATCTCCTGGGCTCAAGAAATCTTTCTGCCTTGACTTCCCAAAGTCCTAGGATTATAGATGTGAGCCATTGTTTCTGGTCCCACTGGAATGTCTTTCAAGACTGGACTCAATCTTCTCAAACCCTGCCACAGCTTGCTCAACTAAGTTTACATGTTTTTCAAAATCCCTTGTTGTCATTTCAACAATATTCACACCAACTTTACCAAGAATAGAGTCCATCTCAAGAAACCGTATTCTTGACTCCATAAAAAATAACTTCTCACTGGTTAAATTTTTATTATGAGATTGCAGTACTCAGTTGCATCTTCAGATTTTACTTCTAGTTCTCTTCCTATGTCCACTACATCTGCAATTACTTTCCCTACTGAGGACTTGAACCCCTTCAAGTAAACCATAAGAATTTGAGTAAATTCCTTCCTATTAACATTAATATTTTGACCTCCTCCCATGAACCATGAATGTTCTTAAAGACATCTAGACTGGTAAATTCTTTCCAAAAGGTTTTTAACTTACTTTGTCCAGATCCATTAGAAGAATTACTATCTATGGCAGCTATAACCTTAAAAATGTATTTCTTTTTTATTAGTTTTTAATTTTTAAGAGTACATAGTAGGTGTATATATTTATAGATATGGTGCATAAGATTTTGATAACATTTGCTTTACAAACATTCAAATTATACTTTCAGTTACTTTAAAATGTGCAATAACTTATTGTTGACTGTAATCACCCTGTTGTGCTATCAAATACTAGATCTTATTTATTCTAATTATAATTTGTACCCATAAACCATCCCCACTCCCCTACCCCTCTATCCTTCTCAGCCTTTGGTAACCATCATTCTTCTATCTTCATAAGTTCAATTGTTTTAGTTGTTTAGCTCCCTATGAGATAAATATAACAAAGAGATTAAAATAATTTAAAAGAATCAAGCAGAAATCCTGGAGCTGAAAAATGGTATTGACATACTAAAAATAATGACAATATAACTGGAATGTTTGTAACATAAAAAAGGATAAATGCTTAAGATGATGGATACCACATTTACCATGATGTGATTCTTACATATCGTATGCTTGTATCAAAATAGTTTATGTACTCTACAAATATATACATTAACTATTTACCCACAAAAATTTTTAAAAATGCAATATCTTGGGAGTACAACTAAAAAAAACAGAATCGACCAACAGGAGACAATATTGATGAAAATACCAAATGGTTTTCTTCAAGCAGAAGTTGTGTAATATTTAAAGAAAAATCACAGATTTAGGACGAATGACGACAATAAATGTAAGGGAATCTAAACAAACAGATTATCTAAAACAATGATCATGTCATTTGAGCTTAAAATGAAAATTAAATTAAAATACATGCAAACAGCAGTCTATACATTGAGAATGTGGCAAATGGAATTGAAGTGATTTAAGATTCCTTCATTATATGGGAAGAGGGTAAGTTGTCATAAATATTATATTTTGACATGCCAAGAATAGATTTTGCAATCTTTAGGGAAAAGACCAATTATTTAAAGAACATATTTCTTTAACACCAGAGAGAAAAGAAATGGAGAAAAATATAATCCCAAACAAGGGAAACAAATAATACAAATAATTACTTAAATTACAATTTAAAGCTTGGTAAAAATAAATGCAATTATATCAGTAAGCACATTAGGTTTAAATGGACTGAATGCTGTACATTTTTTACCACCATGCCTGGATAGTTTTTTTAGTTTTTGCCGAAACAGGGTCTGGTTGTGTTGCCTAGGCTGATCTTGAAATCCTGGCCTAGGTGATCCTCTTGCCTCAGCCTCCCAAAGTGCTAGGAGTATAGGCGTAAGCCACCAAGCAGCCTGCCTTTTTTGTTTTTTTTTTTTTTTTTTAGTAATTAAATTGAATTGAAAAAAAACACTGAAAATAAAGTTTCAGGGCAATAAGAGCAAAGAAACAGTGAAAATAAAAGATTACAGAATAATCCAAGAAAACAAAGCAGACACTAACTAAAAGAATGCTATTGTTGCTTTAGGGACAGCAAAAACAATAGGCTTTTAATAAAATATCTTTACCAAAAATAATAAGGATACATCATAATGATAACAAAGCATAATTCTTTAAGATATAATACTTCTAAATTGTATATACAAATGAATATATTCTCAAACATATAAAACAAAAATTGACAGAACTAAAAGCAGAAATAAAAAATTATAGAAAATTAGAAAATGTAAATAAAATGATTAGTAAATTTAATTTAAAAATACAGACTATCCAACAATAGAATGTATTTTTATTAGCTGCAACACTTATAAAACACTTTCTGGGCCGGGTGTGGTGGCTCACGCCTGTAATTCCAACACTTTGGGAAGTCGAGGAGGGCAGATCATTTGAGGTCAGGAGTTCGAGACAGCCTGACCGGCATGGTGAAACTCCATCTCAACTAAAAATATGAAAAAATTAGCTAGGTGTGGCGGCACATGCCTGTAGTCCCAGCTACTCGGGAGGCTGAGGCAGGAGAATCATTTGAACCCAGGAGGCAGAGGTTGCAGTGAGCTGAGATTGTGCGGACTGCACTCCAACCTGGGCAACAGAGCAAAACTCCACATCAAAGAATAAAAAAAAAAAAAAAAAACCCATATTCTAGTTCATATGATAAGGAAGGTAATAAGAAAAATATTTCAAAATTAAAAATACAATTTAGCTGGCTGTAGTGGCTCAAGGCTGTAATTCCAACACTTTGGGAGGCCCAGGCAGATGGGAGGATCACTTGAGGCCAGGACTTCAAGACCAGCCTAGGCAACACAGAAAGTCCCTGTCTCTGTTAAAATAATTTTTAAAAGTGCATATGTGTGTGTGTGTATCATGTAAAATATAGAAATATAAGTACAAATGAATCAGAGTTCTTCAGTTTGTATCTATGCTTCTCTCTCACACATGAATTAATGTTAAATGAGAGTGGTTTGCAATCTTTAAACTTAGAAATTCTTCATTCTCAGAAAAAAGTGATACTTTTGTAATTAGCATAAGACAAAACTTTTCTCCAAGTTTTTATTTGTATTTTCTTTTAGAAACACACTATCATTACAAGTTATATCTTTGGCATAACTTTCTCTTGAAATATGTAATAACACATGTTGGGTGATATATTTTGGTCTGAAAGTTGAATCAAGGGTTGAATCAAGGGGTAATACAGGAAATCAAATGTTAAAAAAAAAGTTTCCAGAGGCTAACTGCAGCATGAGGTATTTAATAATAAAATGTTGACATCTAAAAATATTATATTTATAACTTAAACATCTTACTAAAAATAAGACTCCTAGGTCCAGATTTTTGTGCTGGTAAATCCTATAAAATATTTAAAGAAGAAATAGTATAACTTTTACAGAACCACTCCTAGATAGTAAAAAAATATATATATAGGAATTCCTTGTTTTCTAACATCATCATAACCTTGATGACAAAACCTAAGCGCATTATAACCCCACTTCACTCATGGAAATAGAAACAATGTCATAAGGCCAGGCACTGTGGCTCACGCCTGTAATCCCAGCACTTTGGGAGGCTGAGGCAGGAGGATTGCTTGATCTTGAGCTCCTGAGCTCAAGAGTTTAGATCAGCCTGGTCAACTTGGAGAAACTCCCTCTCTACAGAAAATACAAAAATTAGACGTTTGTGGTGGCACATGCCTGTAGTTCCAGCTACTCAGAAGGTTGAGATGGGAGGATCACCACTTGAACCCAGGAGGTAGAGCCTATAGTGTTCAAATTTCCATTTGTTTCATACTTTTTAGTTTATTTGAATAAATTGCCATATTCCTATATTTAAAATTTTACAAATATTTAATATTTAAAAACAATTGAAATTATGATTTCTGTCTTTTTGTTTATTCTTTAAAATTAATTTTTGGAGAAACCTGGTTTCTCCTGCTATGATTTCTGACACTTGAGATTTTGCCATTGCATCCTCATGGTATAATTTAACATGCTCTTTTGCCCTCTCTATTTACTATCAATCAGAAGTTAACAAATAAACCACATGCTAATACCTGTAAGAAAATATAAATGGCTATACCTTGTGTTAATAATTACTAATGTGTATAAATTAAAGGCATTATTCATTAGATAAGTTTTCATTAAATTGGTAAGATATGCAAGATCTATCTATGTCCATTAAAAAGATATCTATTCTATTTGCTTGTGTTTTTTTTTTTTTTTACTGGCATCTTGTAGATACAGAACTTTATTTCATAAAGACTTAACATTCTGACAGACTGATCTCCAGTGAACAAAATATACTCCATTTATATTGTAATTACATTTAAGTAGAAAATTCAGAATTTGAATTAAAAACAAACGGCACAGAAAGATTTATGTTTCTCATTTGTACTTTTAAAAGACAAGTACAAATTTTGGAACTCAATTATTTGGCATTTTACAGTTTATTTATATGCTATAACTGAGCTCTAAAGTAATTTCATGAAGTTATAATATCCAACCGTATATATAACTTTCAGAAATTTTTGTACATTATTCTAAATATTGGCATATAAAAATTATGTAATATGCTATTGATACCATGTAAAACAGACGACAGTGAAGATTTTACAAAATAAATAAAATGTATTTCCTATATATACATATTGGATGAGCAGTTTTTAGAATTTTTTTTTTCTAATAGCTCTTCAGTAGAAACAGAAATAGCAGATGGTGAACGAGCTCCATATGTATCCACCACCTTTACTCAAGTGCCTGGCAAGGCTAAATGTTTTAGTTCATTTACATTTAATGTAATAATTGGTTTAGTTAGATTAAAGCTTATCATTTTTTAATGTTTTTTATTTGTCACATTTGATTTAGGGGTTTCTTTTTTTTCTGATTTATTTTGCATTAAATGAGGTTTTTTTTTTTCCTGTACCTCACTTTAACCCTTTCATTATTTTTAGCTATGATTTATTTCATATTTTGTGGTAGGATTAAAATATCCAAGCTTAAATTATCACAGTCCACCTTAAAACTTTAAATTAATATTTTACCACATTACACACAAATGTGAAAATCAATATAATTCCTCCTCTCTTTTGTGCTATAGTTATACAATTTATTTCTATATATTTATAAAACCAAGAATACAATGATATTATTGCTTTATTAAATTTAATTTCTATTTAAAAATAAGAAATAAGATAAAAATCTTTAAAATTAGTTCAAATATTTACTATTTATAGCATCTTTGTTCATTTTTTAATATCTGAAGTTTCCATATATATAAATTCCTTTTAGTGTGAAGAATGTTCTTTAACATTTCTCATATTTAAAGTCTGCTGGGGACTAATTCATTGTTTTTGTTTTTCTAAAACTACCACTTTTAAAGGATATTTTTACTAGATATAGAATTCTATCACCACATGGTCTGATATCCAGAATCTATAAGAAACTTCAGCAATTGAACAAGCAATAAACCATTAAAAAAGTAGGCAGAAGATAGGAACCGATATTTCTCAAAAGAAGATATACAAGTGGCCAGCAAACATGAGAAAATGCTCCACATCATTAATCATCAGATGAATGCAAATCAAAACCAAAATAAGATACCATGTCACATTAGTCAGAATTGCTATTATTAAAAAGTCAAAACAGATGCTAACAAGACTGCGAAGAAAAGAGAATGCTTATACACTGTTGGTGAGAATGTAAATTAGTTCACCCACTATGGAGAGCAGTTTGGAGATTTCTCAAAGAACTTAAAACAGAGCTACTATTTGACTCAGCAATCCCATTACTGTGTACATATCCAAAAGAAACAAATTGTTTTACCAAGAAGACACATACACTCACACGTTCATCACAGCGTTATTCACAATAACAAAGACATGGAATCAACTTAAATGCTCATCAATGGTAGACTGGATTAAAAAAATGTGGTACATAGACACCATGGAATACTACACAGCTATAAAAAAGAATACAATTATGTCCTTTGTAGCAACATGAATGAAACTGGAGGTCATTATTTTAAGTGAATTAACACGGGAACAGAAAAGCAAATATTGTATGTTCTTACTTATAAGTGGGAGCTAAACATTAGATACTCATGGACATAAAGATGGCAACAATAGAAACTGGGGCTACTATCGGGGGAGAGAAGAAGGAAAGGGTTGAAAATCTAATTACTGGGTACTATGCTCAGTACCTGAATGATGGGATCATTTATACCCCAAACCTCAGCATCATGAAATATATTTAGGTTAGCAAAACTGTACATATACTCCCTGAATCTTAAATAAAAGTTGGAAAAGCAAAAGAATTCTGTCAAGATATTTGTTTTCCCTTTAGTACCTTAAAAATGTAGTTCATATCTTCAGGCTGTATTATTTCTTATGAAATGTCTGAATTGTTTTTATTGTTCCTTTGTATGTAATGTTTGTTTTGACACTAATTTAAAATTTTAAAATTTGTCTTTGGTTACAGAAACTGACTGTGATATGCCTATGACTGATATTCTTTGTACTAATAAATTAACATGTTTTATCAAATTTAGAAAATGTTTGGACGTTATATCTTCAAATATTTTTATCCTTTAATAGCTCTATTATCTGGGAGAGACACAGATGCACACATTTTCTACAGCTTAATTTTACATAAGAAGTCACTGAAAGTCTTATCATTGTATTTTTTGTTTTTTCCTCTTTTACTTCGGTTTGGATGGCTTACATTAACCTGTTTTTAACTTCATTGATTATCTATTCTGCAGTGCTTAATTTCTTGTTGAGTTCATCATTTTTGTTATCATAAGATAAAAGCTTAAAAACCCAAGAAAAACAACTCTTTTCAGGTGCAACAGATAATTGAGATCAAGGGGCAAACTACTGCCCCCAAATCTGGTGAGAGAGGCATACAGAGAATGACATCTTACTGGAAACCGAAGTTCAACACTGGAGCCAGTGGTATAGAAACACTTAAACTGTAATTGATGAATTATAGGAGGCGTAATTTGAATTAGTTTAAGAATTAACAATTTCAGAGAGTCCAGTCTTAGCTGGGCCACCACACTTCTAAGTGTTTTTTTTCCAGAATGCCACTGGGTTCTCACCTTAAAGATTGAATACAAACCTCCTCATACATCCAATAGGCATAGGAAAAAGTAACCACTTTGAAATATGTCCAGATAATTCTCTTTTTTGTTGTTCTGTTCTTGATAACGACAATGAGCCCTCTCTCCAGCCCACCCCCAGCTTTCGCCATGTAGCCTGAACAGAGCAGAGATTAGAGGAAACTGTAACTTGTGAGGAATGTAATTTAACCTTTAAAAAGAAGGAAGTTTTCTATATGCATATGCAAAAACATGGATGGACATGAAGGACATTATGCTAAGCGAAATAGATAGTAACAGAAAGATAATTGCTGCTTGATTATGCTTAGGTACCTTAAATAGTCAAACTCAGAAACAGAAAGTGGAAGGCTGACTGCCAGGGGCTGGCTGGTGGGGAAACAGGGATTTATTAAAAAAATATGTCAGTTACACGAGATGACTAAGTTCAGATAATTGCTGTACAACATTGTACTACTTAACAATGCTGTATTGTTAAAGCATAGTTACAAATTTGTTAAGAGGGTAGATTTCAAGTTAAGTGTTCCTAATGCAGTTTTAAAAAGTAAAGATATTTACTTATAACAACAACAACAAAAAAAAAAACAACAGCCCTCAAGGAAAACTACTTTACTGGAGTATTATCTGAAATGGAGAATAGCAACCCTGTCTATGCTTCCTGTATCACTTCAGGGGAATAAACACGCTGAGGATAATTTCAAAAGTCATATCTCAGTGGTACAGTCTCACCAGCAGGTTAAAATATAATCATAGGACTACAGCTTCTTTCCTTCTCCAACACCTACAACCACTTCAATGAGATTTCTGTACAATAATAGATTATTACTACTGAAAGAACTACAAGTCTCAGTCTTTTTTTTTTTAAAGAGGTCTCTAGGGACACCCAAAGATAACAAAGAAAACAAAAACTAATACACCAGAGGAAATTTTAGTTTCTGACACCCACAGCTATTGCAGGCAGTATACAGCCTAACTCCTAGGCAGACAAACATAAAAACTCACACTCAAGTCTAATTTACTCCAGATCTATTTTGGAACATCAGATCTAGCTTAAGAAAACAAAAAACAAACAAACAAAAAACTATAACACATACTAAAAGACATAAAACACCGTTTGCTGTGACAGAGAAAGCATTACAATAAGACTTAGAAATACATGGAAATTATCAGACAATTTAACTATGTAATCAAAATTATACTTACATAACCATGTATGCTAAAATTACTCAAGGCAAAAGTGAAAAATATGCACGAATAGATGTGTAGCAAAGGCAGAGAAATTGAAACTCTAAGAAAGAATTCAAAAGAAAATGCTAAGAAAAAATGCTGTAGAGAAATAAAGAATATTTCAGATTGGTATAATCGTACACTGCAGATAACTGAGCAGTCATTTTGAAGACATGTCAATAGACACTTTCTGAACTGAAAATTAAAGGCAAAAATAATGAAAAAGATCAGAATATTCAAAAGTTATGAGACAAATAAAAAATACTGTATGCATAATAAAATTATCAGGGGAAGAAGGAAGAGAGAAATGAGCGGAATAAATATTTGCAGTAATATTGGCAGAAAAAATTCCAAAATAAGTGACAAACCTAAACCGCACATCTAGAAGGCTCAGACAACACCAAACAGGAAAAATATCAAAAAGTCTACACTTAAGCATGTAATATTTAAACTGCAGGAAACCAATGACAGAGAAAATCTTAAAAGATGCTACAAGAAAAAGAAAAAAAAAAGCAACAATAAAAAACAAAAAAAAACACCTTACCTGTAGAGGAAGAAGAAAAAGACTGTCATTGGTCTTCTCTTCACAAACCATGCAATTGAATGGAGTAAAACATTTAGTATTAAAGGAGGAAAAAACTTCCAACCTAGAATTATTTACCGAGTAAAATTATCCTTCAAAAAAGAAGAAATACTTTCTCAGACAAATCAAAACTGAGGAAAATTGTCACCAGTAGACCTGCCTTGCAAGAAATGTTAAAAGAAGTTTTGCAGACACTAAGAAAATGATGTAAGTCAGAAACTCAGATCTTCATAAACAAAAGAGCATTAAAAAATAAAAGTAAATAAAAGCTTATAATTGTCTTATTAATTAATCTAATAGATAACTATTTGTTCAAACTAATAACAGTAATAATGTATTGGTTGAATATAGCTTATTTATAAGTAAAATAAATGACAGCAAGTACAGGAGGGAGAAATCAGGAAAATTCTGTTAAAAGGAACCTGCATTATCCATGAAGAGGTACAGTGTCACTTGAAAGTGGACTTAGTTATAAATTGATACTAGAAACCATAAGGAAATCACCAAAAAATTAAAAGGAAGAATAATCTATATGCTAAGAGAGAAGAGAAAGTGAAATCATATATATGCTAAACCAAAGCCAAAGAAGACAGGAAAGAGGGAAATATTAAAAAAAAAAAAAAAAAGGAACAAGTGCAAAGACTGGAATAATAAAAAAGGTAGATATTAATACAATTCAATCAATACTTACTTTAAATGTGAGTGGTCTACATACGAAAATTAATAGACAAAGAATGACAGAGCAGATAGAAAAAAGAGCTAATCATCGGTGTACAGAAGAAACCCACTTTAAATATAAGATGAAGAGAGATGCAAAAAATATGAATCTGGACACTAACTTTATATGTTTCAAAAGTTTAATTGAAAATGAATGATAAACCTAAGCATAACATGCAAAACTGTAAAATTTCTAAAATATAACATAGGGAAAATTCAGGTGACCACACTGCAGATTGGTGGAATCATCCACCAAAAGCTTGACCCACGACAAAACAATGTAAGAAGTTGGATATTATTAAAATAAAACAAAAAAATTCTAGTCTATGAGTGACATTGTTAAGAATATAAAGATACAAGCCACATTCTAGGAAAAATATTTGTAAAAAAATATATATATATACCTGATAAAGGACATATATATATGTGTGTGTGTGTATATATATATATGTGTGTATATATATATGATAAAGTACATATATCCAAAATGCAAAAGAATGTGAAAAGTTTTCAACATCATATTTCATCAGGAAATTGTAAATTAAAACAATAATTAAAAATATATACTCCTATAAATGCAGATGAGCCTGAAGAGCAACAGGAATTCTCATTCATTGCTGCTGGGAAAGCAAGGTAGTTCAGCCACTTTGGAAGACAGTTTGACAGTTTTCTACAAAACTAAACATGTCTTACCCCGCAGTCCAACAACTGTTCTACATATTTACACAAATGAGTTGAAAATATATCCATACAAGAACCAGTACACAAGTGTTTATGGCAGCTTAACTCATAATTACCTCAATCTGAAAGTGACCAAGATGTACTTCAAAATATGAAAGGATAAAAAACTAGTATATCCATACAATGGAATATTATTCAGTGATAAAAAGAAATGAGCTATCAAGATATGAAAAGACATGGAAGAACCTTACACGAACATTTCTAAATCAAAGAAATCAGTCTGAAAAGCGACATACTATATGATTCCAACTATACGGCACTCTGGAAAAGGGTAAACTATAGGAATAGTAGATCAGTGGTTTTCCAGGGACTTGGGGGAAGGAGATGAATGATTAATAATTGGAGCACAGTGAAATTTTAAGAGTAAAACTTTCTTATATAATACCATAAAGTTGAGTACATGACATGCATTTGTCAAAATCTATAGAACTGTAAACACAAAGAATGAAACAATGTAAACTATGTAGTTTAAATAATAATTATGTGTTTATATTAGTTCATCAGTTGTAACAACTATACCACACTAATACAAAATGTAAATAATAGAGGAAACTGTGAGAAAGGGTTAGAGGGGATTTATAGGAACTGTATCAACTGCTCACTTTTCTCTAGGCAAAAATCTGTTCTAGTATATAAAGTCTAAAAATTAAGAAAAAATAAAAAGTCCAAAAGAATTTCAGTGCTCATAATAATAGAATAGCTTCGGGAGGAGCCAAGATGGCCGAATAGGAACAGCTCTGGTCTACAGCTCCCAGCGTGAGCGACGCAGAAGATGGGTGATTTCTGCATTTCCATCTGAGGTACCGGGTTCATCTCACTAGGGAGTGCCAGACAGTGGGCACAGGTCAGTGGGTGCGTGCACCGTGCGCAAGCCGAAGCAGGGCTAGGCATTGCCTCACTCGGGAAGCGCAAGGGGTCAGGGAGTTCCCTTTCCTAGTCAAAGAAAGGGGTGAAGGACGGCACCTGGAAAATCGGGTCACTCCCACCCCAATACTGAGCTTTTCCGACGGGCTTAAAAAATGGCGCACCACGAGATTATATCACGCACCTGGCTCGGAGGGTCCTACACCCACGGAGTCTCGCTGATTGCTAGCACAGCAGTCTGAGATCAAACTGCAAGGCGGCAGCCAGGCTGGGGGAGGAGCGCCCGCCATTGCCCAGGCTTGCTGAGGTAAACAAAGCAGCCAGGAAGCTCAAACTGGGTGGAGCCCACCACAGCTCAAGGAGGCCTGCCTGCCTCTGTAGGCTCCACCTCTGGGGGCAGGGCACAGACAAAAAGACAGCAGTAACCTCTGCAGACTTAAATGTCCCTGTCTGACAGCTTTGAAGAGAGCAATGGTTCTCCCAGTACGCAGCTGGAGATCTGAGAAGGGGCAGACTGCCTCCTCAAGTGGGTGCCTGACCCCTGACCCCCGAGCAGCCTAACTGGGAGACACCCCCCAACAGGGGCACACTGACACCTCACACAGCAGGGTACTCCAACAGCCCTGCAGCTGAGGGTCCTGTCTGTTACAAGGAAAACTAACAAACAGAAAGGACATCCACACCAAAAACCCATCTGTACATCACCATCATCAAAGACCAAAAGTAGATAAAACCACAAAGATGGGGAAAAAACAGAACAGAAAAACTGGAAACTCTAAAAAGCAGAGCGCCTCTCCTCCTCCAAAGGAACGCAGTTCTTCACCAGCAACGGAACAAAGCTGGACGGACAATGACTTTGACGAGCTGAGAGAAGAAGGCTTCAGACGATCAAATTACTCTGAGCTACGGGAGGACATTCAAACCAAAGGCAAAGAAGTTGAAAACTTTGAAAAAAATTTAGAAGAATGTATAACTAGAATAACCAATACAGAGAAGTGCTTAAAGGAGCTGATGGAGCTGAAAACCAAGGCTCGAGAACTACGTGAAGAATGCAGAAGCCTCAGGAGCCGATGCGATCAACTGGAAGAAAGGGTATCAGCGATGGAAGATGAAATGAATGAAATGAAGTGAGAAGGGAAGTTTAGAGAAAAAAGAATAAAAAGAAATGAGCAAAGCCTCCAAGAAATATGGGACTGTGTGAAAAGACCAAATCTACGTCTGATTGGTCTACCTGAAAGTGATGGGGAGAATGGAACCAAGTTGGAAAACACGCTGCAGGATATTATCCAGGAGAACTTCCCCAATCTAGCAAGGCAGGCCAACGTTCAGATTCAGGAAATACAGAGAACGCCACAAAGATACTCCTCGAGAAGAGCAACTCCAAGACACATAATTGTCAGATTCACCAAAGTTGAAATGAAGGAAAAAATGTTAAGGGCAGCCAGAGAGAAAGGTCGGGTTACCCTCAAAGGGAAGGCCATCAGACTAACAGCGGATCTCTCGGCAGAAACCCTACAAGCCAGAAGAGAGTGGGGGCCAATATTCAACATTCTTAAAGAAAAGAATTTTCAACCCAGAATTTCATATCCAGCCAAACTAACTTCATAAGTGAAGGAGAAATAAAATACTTTACAGACAAGCAAATGCTGAGAGATTTTGTCACCACCAGGCCTGCCCTAAAAGAGCTCCTGAAAGAAGCACTAAACATGGAAAGGAACAACTGGTACCAGCTGCTGCAAAATCATGCCAAAATGTAAAGACCATTGAGACTAGGAAGAAACTGCATCAACTAATGAGCAAAATAACCAGCTAACATCATAATGACAGGATCAAATTCACACATAACAATATTAACATTAAATGTAAATGGACTAAATGCTCCAATTAAAAGACACAGACTGGCAAATTGGATAAAGAGTCAAGACCCATCAGTGTGCTGTATTCAGGAAACCCATCTCACGTGCAGAGACACACATAGGCTCAAAATAAAAGAATGGAGGAAAATCTACCAAGCAAATGGAAAACAAAAAAAGGCAGGGGTTGCAATCCTAGTCTCTGATAAAACAGACTTTAAACCAACAAAGATCAAAAGAGACAAAGAAAGCCATTACTTAATGGTAAAGGGATCAATTCAACAAGAAGAGCTAACCATCCTAAATATATATGCACCCAATACAGGAGGACCCAGATTCATAAAGCAAGTCCTGAGTGACCTACAAAGAGACTTAGACTCCCACACATTAATAATGGGAGACTTTAACACCCCACTGTCAACATTAGACAGATCAACGAGACAGAAAGTCAACAAGGATACCCAGGAATTGAATTCAGCTCTGCACCAAGCAGACCTAATAGACATCTACAGAACTCTCCACCCCAAATCAACAGAATATACATTTTTTTCAGCACCACACCACACATATTCCAAAATTGACCACATACTTGGAAGTAAAGCTCTCCTCAGCAAATGTAAAAGAACAGAAATTGTAACAAACTATCTCTCAGACCACAGTGCAATCAAACTAGAACTCAGGATTAAGAATCTCACTCAAAACCGCTTAACTACATGGAAACTGAACAATCTGCTCCTGAATGACTACTGGGTACATGACAAAATGAAGGCAGAAATAAAGATGTTCTTTGAAACCAACAAGAATGAAGACATAACATACCAGAATCTCTGGGACACATTCAAAGCAGTGTGTACAGGGAAATTTATAGCACTAAATGTCCACAAGAGAAAGCAGGGAAGACCCAAAATTGACACCCTAACATCACAATTAAAAGAACTAGAAAAGCAAGAGCAAACACATTCAAAAGCTAGCAGAAGGCAAGAAATAACTAAAATCAGAGCAGAACTGAAGGAAATAGAGACACAAAAAGCCTTCAAAAAATTAATGAATCCAGGAGCTGGTTTTTTGAAAGGATCAACAAAATAGATAGACCGCTAGCAAGACTAATAAAGAAAAAAAGAGAGAAGAATCAAATACACGCAATAAAAAATGATAAAGGGAATATCACCACTGATCCCACAGAAATACAAACTACCATCAGAGAATACTACAAACACCTCTACGCAAATAAACTAGAAAATCTAGAAGAAATGGATAAATTCCTCGACACATACACTCTCCCAAGACTAAACCAGGAAGAAGTTGAATCTCTGAATAGCCCAATAACAGGATCTGAAATTGTGGCAATAATCAATAGCTTACCAAGCAAAAAGAGTCCAGGACCAGACGGATTCACAGCCGAATTCTACCAGAGGTACAAGGAGGAACTGGTACCATTCCTTCTGAAACTATTCCAATCAATAGAAAAAGAGGGAATCCTCCCTAACTCATTTTCTGAGGCCAGCATCATCCTGATACCAAAGCCGGGCAGAGACACAACAAAAAAAGAGAATTTTAGATCAATATCCTTGATGAACATTGATGCAAAAATCGTCAATAAAATACTGGCAAACCGAATCCAGCAGCACATCAAAAGGCTTATCCACCATGATCAAGTGGGCTTCATCCCTGGGATGCAAGGCTGGTTCAATATACGCAAATCAATAAATGTAATCCAGCATATAAACAGAGCCAAAGACAAAAACCACATGATTATCTCAATAGATGAAGAAAAGGCCTTTGACAAAATTCAACAACCTTCATGCTAAAAACTCTCAATAAATTAGGTATTGATGGGATATATTTCAAAATAATAAGAGCTATCTATGACAAACCCACAGCCAATATCATACTGAATGGGCAAAAACTGGAAGCATTCCCTTTGAAAACTGGCACAAGACAGGGATGCCCTCTCTCACCACTCCTATTCAACATAGTGTTGGAAGTTCTGGCCAGGGCAATTAGGCAGGAGAAGGAAATAAAGGCTATTCAATTAGGAAAAGAGGAAGTCAAATTGTCCCTGTTTGCAGAGGACATGATTGTATATCTAGAAAACCCCATTGTCTCAGCCCAAAATCTCCTTAAGCTGATAAGCAACTTCAGCAAAGTCTCAGGATACAAGATCAATGTACAAAAATCACAGGCATTCTTATACACCAACAACAGACAAACAGAGAGCCAAATCATGAGTGAACTCCCATTCACAATTGCTTCAAAGAGAATAAAATACCTAGGAATCCAACTTACAAGGGATGTTAAGGACCTCTTCAAGGAGAACTACAAACCACTGCTCAAGGAAATAAAAGAGGATACAAACAAATGGAAGAACATTCCATGCTCATGGGTAGGAAGAATCAATATCGTGAAAATGGCCATACTGCCCATGGTAATTTATAGATTCAATGCCATCCCCATCAAGCTACCAATGACTTTCTTCACAGAGTTGGAAAAAACTGCTTTAAAGTTCATATGGAACCAAAAAAGAGCCCGCATCGCCAAGTCAATCCTAAGCCAGAAGAACAAAGCTGGAGGCATCACACTACCTGACTTCAAACTATACTGCAAGGCTACAGTAACCAAAACAGCATGGTACTGGTACCAAAACAGAGATATAGATCAATGGAACAGAACAGAGCCCTCAGAAATAACGCCGCATATATACAGCTATCTGATCTTTGACAAACCTGACACAAACAAGCAATGGGGAAAGGATTCCTTATTTAATAAATGGTGCTGGGAAAATTGGCTAGCCATATGTAGAAAGCTGAAACTGGATCCCTTCCTTACACCTTATACAAAAATCAATTCAAGATGGATTAAAGACTTAAATGTTAGACCTAAAACCACAAAAACCCTAGAAGAAAACCTAGGCATTACCATTCAGGACATAGGCATGGGCAAGGACTTCATGTCTAAAACACCAAAAGCAATGGCAACAAAAGAAAAAATTGACAAATGGGATCTAATTAAACTAAAGAGCTTCTGTACAGCAAAAGAAACTACCATCAGAGTGAACAGGCAACCTACAGAATGGGAGAAAATTTTCGCAACCTACTCATCTGACAAAGGGCTAATATCCAGAATCTACAATGAACTCAAACAAATTTACAAGAAAAAAACAAACAACCCCATCAAAAATGGGCAAAGGACATGAACAGACACTTCTCAAGAGAAGACATTTATGCAGCCAAAAAACACATGAAAAAATGCTCAACATCACTGGCCATCAGAGAAATGCAAATCAAAACCACAATAAGATACTATCACACACCAGTTAGAATGGCAATCATTAAAAAAGCAGGAAACAACAGGTGCTGGAGAGGATGTGGAGAAATAGGAACACTTTTACACTGTTGGTGGGACTGTAAACTAGTTCAACCATTGTGGAAGTCAGTGTGGCAATTCCTCAGGGATCTAGAACTAGAAATACCATTTGACCCAGCCATCCCATTACTGGGTATATACCCAAAGGACTATAAATCATGCTGCTATAAAGACACATGTACACGTATGTTTATTGTGGCACTATTCACAATAGCAAAGACTTGGAACCAACCCAAATATCCAACAATGATAGACTGGATTAAGAAAATGTGGCACATATACACCATGGAATACTATGCAGCCATAAAAAATGATGAGTTCATGTCCTTTGTAGGGATATGGATGAAATTGGAAATCATCATTCTCAGTAAACTATAGCAAGAACAAAAAACCAAACACCGCATATTCTCACTCATAGGTGGGAATTGAACAATGAGATCACATGGACACAGGAAGGGGAACATCACACTCTGGGGACTGTTGTGTGGTGGGGGGAGGGGGGAGGGATAGCATTGGGAGATATACCTAATGCTAGACGACAAGTTAGTGGGTGCAGCACACCAGCATGGTACATGTATACATATGTAACTAACCTGCACAATGTGCACATGTACCCTAAAACTTAAAGTATAATAATAAAAGAAAAAAAGAAAAGAAAAAAAAAAGAATAGCTTATACAAAAATAACCCTTCTGTAGGCAATAATTATAAATAATGGAAAAAATACAGTTTAAAAAATTGAAGGCACAAGAGGCAGAATAAAGACAAGCTGAAAGTGGAAAATTTTAACCTCTTAACTCATCTATCCTGAATGAGTCCATGTTTATATGGCATTTCCCTTGATATTATGTCTTTGTCTATACAGCTTGTGGTAGCTAAAATGAAGGCAGAAATTTGTCATCTTACTAATTAAGGGTTCAGGGTACTGAGTTCAAGTTTGTCAGAACAGATAAAAATTAAGGGAAAGAGTCCTGGAAAGATACAAGCCACAGAGAAGAGAGCTCTAGTATCTGAAAAAAAAAAAAAAAATACCTCAAATCCATGGCTGGCATCTTAACTGTGCATGTATTGGGGAGACTTCAAAAATTCCAATGGAGAGCAATAGCTGATAGGTTTTAAAAAGTATATCTAGGCATAGATTTCTGCCTCAACCCGTCACATGGTAGACAGACTTTTGAGATTAAATCTTAATAAGCTACAGAATATTTGTAAACAAAACAGATTTTCCAATGAACTTCTAGAACTATTGTGTCTTAAGAGCAAAGACTGTGTTATAGAAGAGATTTGCACCAAGAAAAAGTCCAAAGTCAAAACAAATCTACTCTTAAAGTGTATAAACCAAGCTTGTACAAGTTAAAAGTCATCAAACAGTAATTTCATTTTTATCAATGCTTCTCAAGGGAAAATGACAGAATCCAGGGTCCTATGGCATATCTTCCAAAATCTCCAACATAGAATCAACATTGCTAGATATGTGAAGAAACAGAAAAATGTAATTGAAGGTCAGTTTAAAAAGTCAATAAAAAAAGTTAAATACTGTAAGCAGATTTTTCAAATACATTCAAGGACTTAAAGGGAAAGGTAATTATGATAATGAATGCACAGGATATGCCAGCAGATAAAGTCAACTTTGAACAAGAATCATGTGAAAAGTATAGAACTAAAAAAATACCATTTCTAAAATAAAATTTAGAAAAACTGCATAAGATTAATAGCAGATTGTACATTGAAGAAGAAATGGCCAGTGACACTGAATACAAATTAATAGAAAGTATCAAATACAGAGAAAAAAAGACAAAAATGCAGCATTTTGGGATAATATAAAACTAAGCATCACATGTATAGTTGGAGTTATAGAAAAGGAGGACCAAAAAAAAAAAAAAAGCAGAAAGGAATAATTGAATAAACGGTACCTAAAACTTCTCCCAATTTGGTGAAGACATCATCTTATAGATCCAAGAAGTTTGATAAACCATATCATGTTGAGTACAAAGAAAAAATACATACAGGTCCATTATAATAAAACTACTAAAGGTCAAAGCTATTGAAAACATTTTGAAAAACACACAAAAATGGTGTATCATATTTTGGGAAACAACAGTCAGAAATATAACCAACTTCTCATAAGGAAACTATGGAAGCCAGAAGACAGTGGAAGATATTTTTACTATTCTGATAAAAGAGAGAAAAGAAGATTTTTATACTCAGTTAAAAAACTTTTACACTGTTGTTGGGAGTGTAAATTAGTTAAACCATTGTGGAAGACAGTGTGGCAATTCCTCAAGCATCTAGAACCAGAAATACCATTTGAACCAGCAATCCCATTACTGGGTATACACCCAAAGGATTATAAATCATTCTACTATAAAGACACATGCACATATGTGTTTATTGCAGCACTATTTACAATAGCAAAGACTTGGAACCAACCCAAATGCTCATCAATGATAGACTGGATAAAGAAAATGTGGCACACATATACCATGGAATACTATGCAGCCATAAAAAAGAATGAGTTCATGTCCTTTGTAGGAACATGAATGAAGCTGGAAGCCATAGTTCTCAGCAAACTGACAAAGGAATGGAAAACTAAACACTGCATGTTCTCACTCATAAGTGGAAGTTGAACAATTAGAACACATGGACACAGGGAGAGGAACATCACTCACCAGGGCCTGTCGGGGGGTGGGGGGAAAGGGGAGGTAGAGCATTAGGATAAATACGTAATGCATATGGAGCTTAAAACTTAGATGATGGGTTGATAGGTGCAGCAAACCACCATGACACATGTATACCCATGTAGCTAACCTGCATGTTCTGCACATGTATCACAGAACTTAAAGAAAAAAAAACTTTAAAAAATAAAAGTTTAATAAAAACTTGTTTTCAGACATAGTGAAGGTGAGAGACTGAATCACCAGTATATCTGTATTGCAAAAGGCCAAATATTTTATTTTATTATTATTATATTGAGACAGAGTCTCACTGTGTCTCCCAGGATAGAGTGCAGTAGCACAATTACAGCTCACTGCAGCTTCGACATCCTGGGCTCAAGTGATCCTTCCATTTCTGCCTGACAAGTAGCTGGAACTCCAGGTGCATGCCACTACACACACCTACATTTTTATTTTATTTTATTTTTATTTTTGTAGATAAGGGGTTTCACCTTGTTGCCCAAGCTGGTCTTGAAGTTCTGGGCTCAAGCGATCTGCCTGCATTAGCCTCCTAAAGTTCTGGGATTACCAACATGAGCTACCATGCCTGGGTCAAAGCCATTCTCTGAGCTGAAGAAAAACTACAAAAGATAGAAACTCAGATGTGCAGGAAAGAATATAGACACCAAAAAAGGTAAATATGTGGCCTAATATTAGTTTTATTTTTTCTCATTTTATTATATTACAATTGACTTGTTTAATTTGCGAATATATATAATATTGAACTGTGGTCTTTATTTCATTAACAATATTAACTGATTACAAAATAGAAACTTTTAAATATTTTGAATTGAACGATAATGAAAATTCAACATATTAAAATATGTGAAATTTTACTTCTGCCTACTTTTAAGAAATAGTTTGAAGTTAAGCTTAAATACCTTCTTAAGAAGAACGAAATTTTTTGTTCGTTTGTTATCTTGAAAGAAGGTCTCACTCTGTAGCCCAGGCTGAAGTGCAGTGGCGTGATCATGGCTCGCTGCAGCCGCGATCTCCAGGCTCAATAGATCCTCCCACTTTTGCCTCCCCGGTAGCTGAGACTGCATGTGCACCACCAAGCCTGTAAATTTTTTGTAGATACAGGGTTCTGCCATGTTGCGCAGGCTGGTCTTAAATTCCTGGGCTTAAGTGATCTCCCCACCTTGGCCTCCAAAGTGCTGGGATTACAGGTGTATGCCTGTAATCCACTGCACCAGGCCATTTTTTTCTTTTTGTTTGTTTTTTTGGTTTTTATTAAACAATCTGTGATAAAATAGGAAAAAAAGAGTAAATAAAATTCAAAATAATAAATATCAAGATAAAACAATGAATGAGAAAATAATATATTAAAAATTAACCAAGCTGAAAATTGTTTTATTGAAAAATATTACTAAAATTGATTTTTGAAAAGCTAGCGAGATGCAACAAGATAAATGGGAGAAAATGACCGTTGCCAATATCAGGTACTACAGACCGTAAAAGTAAAATTAGGCAAATTATCAGTAAATTTATGTCTAGAAAAAAATCTACTGAGACAAAATAGAAAAATTATTTGAAGAACTTTAGTTAAGAAATTGGAAATAGAAGAAATAGCAACTCTGATTATTCGGATACCTAATCGAAATAAATCCATATTTAAAACCTTCCTAAGAACAATGCTGCTGGCCAACCTAGCTCCAACATGAATTCTTTAAAATATTTAAATAGTTAACTTTTCTAATCTTAAACTCTGGCAGAGAATAGAAAAGTAGGCACTACTTCCCAATCCTTTTAGAGGACAAGAATAACTTTGACACAAAAATTTGTTAAGAAAGGCTGAAGGAAAAAATGGTGTACCAATTTATTTAATATACATAGAAGCAATTCCTGAATAAAATGTTAGCAAATAACGTTTTAAAATACATATAAAAATATTACAAAATGTTTTTTATTTCAGAAATATGAGGGAGGTTTATATTTAAAACACAATAAATACCATTTTTAATAAATTAAATGTGGAAATATAATAATGAAGAAAATTTATAGATAATATATTTATTATTCAATTCATAATTAAGATCCATAGTAATCGAGAAATAGAACAGAAATATATTAATTTAATAAATAATGCCTTTGAAATATTATTGTAAACATCTTACTTTGCAGTGTTATAAAAAGTTGAGATAGCTAATGAGAAAATAATGGCCCATTACCATTTTTATTTAATTTTATCCTTGAGGTAAAATTAGCAAATCTAATAAGGAAAGAATAAATGAAAATGAGAATAAAAATAAAACTATAATTATTTGCAGAAGAAATATTTATGCTTATTTATGTAGAAAATCCAAATACATCCACAGATATAGTATCAGTTCACTACAAGGCCAATATATAAAAATAATTTTTATTTTTATATACCAATAATAAATAATAAAAGTTTTAAAGATTATTAGTTATAGCAGCATTAAAACATCAACTACTTAGTAATACATTCAGCAAAACTTATGTAATTCCTCTATATTGGAAAGAACAAAACATTATTAAAGGACTTCAAAGGCTTAAATGAACAATGTGATAGACCATGTCTACTAATTAGAGGACTTCATACTGTTAACATAAAAATTCTTCCATATATATATATGTGTGTGTGTATATATATATAAAATTTAATCTCTATCAGATTCTCAACAAGTATTTTTTTAAATGACAAGCTGTTTGTAAAATTAATATGAACGTGCATATAATCTTGACTAGACAAAACAATGAATACTAAAGAAGATAATCATAGCTGATAGAACACCTGAGATCAAGATTTATGAAAAAGTACATAAGGAATAAAACAGTACATGCAGTACTGGAACAAGGATATATAAAAAAAACTAATAACCCAGAATATAGACTCAAGAAACAGACTCTCACATGTACATTCACCTAATTAAAGACAAGACTGACTACAGTGAAATGAGATAGGATTTTTGAAATATATAATAGGTAATGGGTAAATTGTATATCCACATGGAAATAAAATAACTTGAGAATTACCTCACATCACAGATAGCTCAATTCCAGATAGATTGTAGATTTAAACATAAAAGGTAATAGATTTTAGAGGACAATTGATGAAACTATATTTATGACATTACATCGAATAAAGGTTTCTGTTGTTGTTGTTGTTGTTTTTGTATTTTTGAGACAGAGTCTCGCTCTGTCACCCAGGCTAGAGTGCAGTGGCCTGATCTCGGCTCACTGCAAGCTCCGCCTCCCGGGTTCACGCCATTCTCCTGCCTCAGATTTTAATAAAATAGAACACAAAGTGCTACCAATGAAAAATTAGCAAATTAGGTGAATTAAAAATAAAGTATAAGTTTATCAAAAGACACTGTAATATGATATCCAATTGCCAATCATGAAATACAGTGTTGCACCATAATTTGTCACCTGAGAAGAGTGAATTAAACCACAATATCAGACTGCACCAGAAGAAAGTTAAAAATAGAAAAGCCAGCTAAAGTTCTGCAAGAGAATGAGTCAAAGGGAAACTCTTTATACACTGCATTGGGAGGTAAATTGGTATGGCGACTTTGGAAAACTTTTTTGCTCTTTCTACTAATACTCGACATAGCTGTCTCAGTCATAGTCTATTTGGGCTGCTACAAAAAAATACCATAAACTAGGTAGGTTATGAACAACAGAAATGTATTTCTCATTGTCCTAGAGGCTGGGAAGTCAAAGATCAAAGTGCTGGCAGATGTGATGTCTTGTTGTGAATTAAGTTTCAATATATGAAATTTGGGGGGACATAAAAATTCAGACTGTATCAGGAACCATACCCTGTTTACCTGCAATTCTAACTCTCCAATAATCAAGAATATGTCCACCAAAAGACAAATACAAAAAAAAAAAAATAACCAAACATTGACAAAAAAAGAGAAACATACCAGAATAATCATTAGCAGTGATTTCACAATAATTTTCATTTAGAAACATTCACATTTCCATTGCAATAATGAATTCATACATTGTGATATATTCATAACTAGAATATTAAACAGCAATGAGAATGAATGAACTGAAACTACACACAAAAATGTGTGAATTCCCAAGTATAATGCTGAACAAAAAAGACATATGTTTGCATTTATAAAATGATTTTTTAAAAAGACATTAGAAATCAGTAGTTATTAGCCATGGGCTTGAGGTTTTATGAAGGGAAACATCATGATGAGGACTTCTGGGTTACTAGTAATATTCTATCTTTTGATCTGGATGCTGTAACATGAATATTCTATTTTGTGAAAATTTTCATAGTGCTGTGCACATGATTTGTAGTACACTTTTCTTGATATATGTTATAACGTAAAAATTCACAAAGCAAAATGATTCACAATGTAGAATTTGTAACTGCTTTGAAATTTCAGAAGTGACAAAGACTGTTTAAATACTTATTATCCAGTATTTTCCAAGTTATTTGATTCCAATATAACACATCTTAACATCTGACAAAACTAGTGTTTTATGAAACACTTTGGAAGGGTCATCATATCTAAGGAATTGCAATTTTTATTGTTTTAATGAGATTCAAAAACTCCTATTATCGTTTGCACTTCAGCCACAAAATCTACTAAAATTCCCTGAATCACAATGTCTCTTTTTAAAAAGTGTTAATCATAATAACTACCTCAAAATGTTACTGAGTGAAGAATAAAAGAGACATATTATATATCCTAGTTATTTTTGTTATAAATGATGAGCCAACCAAACAGTAGCAATATAATATGTATTTCCTGAGGACTCAGTTTTGTCAAGTAAAAGAATAATAGCCTCTAAGGAAAACATATCTCTATCAAAAAATTATAAATAATATTAAATTTAATTCAATCTAGTATTTCCTTGATATACCTATTAGAAGCGGTCGCCACTGAAGAATTGGTAATTGTATAACACTGTAGCAAAATAATCTCCTATAGCAATTTTATGTGCTTCAAGGATTACTACTCTTAACCTGTTAACTGATACACTTATATCTAAGCATTAAGACTTAATTTCAACACTATTAATGCTGCAGATACTAGCTAGATAATTTGGAATTTTCTATTTGATTTTCTATGACTTTGTTTAGCTGGCTCTTTCATTGTTGATATAACTTATGAAAATCTATGGTGAAGGCAATATAAAATTCAGATTCTACATTAAGAAAGTATAGAATCTGGCATGATTTTGCAGCGGCTGGTACCAGTTGTTCCTTTCCATATTTAGCGCTTCCTTCAGGAGCTCTTTTAGGGCAGGCCTGGTGGTGACAAAATCTCTCAGCATTTGCTTGTCTGTAAAGTATTTTATTTCTCCTTCACTTATGAAGCTTAGTTTGGCTGGATATGAAATTCTGGGTTGAAAAGTCTTTTCTTTAAGAATGTTGAATATTGGCCCCCACTCTCTTCTTGCTTGTAGGGTTTCTGCTGAGAGATCCGCTGTTAGTCTGATGGGCTTCCCTTTGAGGGTAACTTGACCTTTCTCTCTGGCTGCCCTTAACATTTTTTCCTTCATTTCAACTTTGGTGAATCTGACAATTATGTGTCTTGGAGTTGCTCTTCTCGAGGAGTATCTTTGTGGCGTTCTCTGTATTTCCTGAATCTGAACGTTGGCCTGCCTTGCTAGATTGGGGAAGTTCTCCTGGATAATATCCTGCAGCGTGTTTTCCAACTTGGTTCCATTCTCCCCATCACTTTCAGGTAGACCAATCAGACGTAGATTTGGTCTTTTCACACAGTCCCATATTTCTTGGAGGCTTTGCTCATTTCTTTTTATTCTTTTTTCTCTAAACTTCCCTTCTCACTTCATTTCATTCATTTCATCTTCCATCGCTGATACCCTTTCTTCCAGTTGATCGCATCGGCTCCTGAGGCTTCTGCATTCTTCACGTAGTTCTCGAGCCTTGGTTTTCAGCTCCATCAGCTCCTTTAAGCACTTCTCTGTATTGGTTATTCTAGTTATACATTCTTCTAAATTTTTTTCAAAGTTTTCAACTTCTTTGCCTTTGGTTTGAATGTCCTCCCGTAGCTCAGAGTAATTTGATCATCTGAAGCCTTCTTCTCTCAGCTCGTCAAAGTCATTGTCCGTCCAGCTTTGTTCCGTTGCTGGTGAGGAACTGCGTTCCTTTGGAGGAGAGAGGCGCTCTGCTTTTTAGAGTTTCCAGTTTTTCTGTTCTGTTTTTTCCCCATCTTTGTGGTTTTATCTACTTTTGGTCTTTGATGATGGTGATGTACAGATGGGTTTTTGGTGTGGATGTGTTTTCTGTTTGTTAGTTTTCCTTGTAACAGACAGGACCCTCAGCTGCAGGTCTGTTGGAATACTCTGCTGTGTGAGGTGTCAGTGTGCCCCTGCTGGGGGGTGCGTCCCAGTTTGACTTCATCTCTATGCCATCTGGGTTCCTCAAATGGCCCTCTTCCACATACCACCATCTGAATGGCTCACACTTAATCTTTCCAACAGAAACGTCGCAGCATGCCCAGCAATTCTGACCCCTCTTCAGGGCATCGTAGCCCCCATGCCGTGGCCTGCTCCCTGCTCATGCATCCTCCATTCCAGCCTGGCTGGCCTTTGCTCTGCAATTCCAGGCCAGTCCAGCTGCTGCAGAGTGACACCTTACCCCCACTCCTGACCCCCACTCTTACCTGAAAAAGCCCATCCCCAGTGGATGGCGACTGGAATCCCAGCACTCCTTCAGGACCCAACTCCAATGCCATTTTCTCCAACCTCCAAGGAGAGGATTAATTAACACATAACAATATTAACTTTAAATGTAAATGGACTAAATGCTCCAATTAAAAGACACAGACTGGCAAATTGGATAAAGAGTCAAGACCCATCAGTGTGCTGTATTCAGGAAACCCATCTCACGTGCAGAGACACACATAGGCTCAAAATAAAAGGATGGAGGAAGATCTACCAAGCAAATGGAAAACAAAAAAAGGCAGGGGTTGCAATCCTAGTCTCTGATAAAACAGACTTTAAACCAACAAAGATCAAAAGAGACAAAGAAGGCCATTACATAATGGTAAAGGGATCAATTCAACAAGAAGAGCTAACTATCCTAAATATATATGCACCCAATACAGGAGCACCAAGATTCATAAAGCAAGTCCTGAGTGACCTACAAAGAGACTTAGACTCCCACACATTAATAATGGGAGACTTTAACACCCCACTGTCAACGTTAGACAGATCAACAAGACACAAAGTCAACAAGGATATCCAGGAATTGAACTCAGCTCTGCACCAAGTGGATCTAATAGACATCTACAGAACTCTCCACCCCAGATCAACAGAATATACATTTTTTTCAGCACCACACCACACCTATTCCAAAATTGACCACATACTTGGAAGTAAAGCTCTCCTCAGCAAATGTAAAAGAACAGAAATTATAACAAACTATCTCTCAGACCACAGTGCAATCAAACTAGAACTCAGGATTAAGAATCTCACTCAAAGCCGCTCAACTAGATGGAAACTGAACAACCTGCTCCTGAATAACTACTGGGTACATAACGAAATGAAGGCAGAAATAAAGATGTTCTTTGAAACCAACGAGAACAAAGACACAACATACCAGAATCTCTGGGACACATTCAAAGCAGTGTGTACAGGGAAATTTATAGCACTAAATGTCCACAAGAGAAAGCAGGAAAGATCCAAAATTGACACCCTAACATCACAATTAAAAGAACTAGAAAAGCAAGAGCAAACACATTCAAAAGCTATCAGAAGGCAAGAAATAACTAAAATCAGAGCAGAACTGAAGGAAATAGAGACACAAAAAACCCTTCAAAAAATTAATGAATCCAGGAGCTGGTTTTTTGAAAGGATCAACAAAATAGATAGACCACTAGCAAGACTAATAAAGAAAAAAAGAGAGAAGAATCAAATAGACGCAATAAAAAATGATAAAGGGGATATCACCACCGATCCCACAGAAATACAAACTACCATCAGAGAATACTACAAACGCCTCTATGCAAATAAACTAGAAAATCTAGAAGAAATGGATAAATTCCTCGACACATACACTCTCCCAAGACTAAACCAGGAAGAAGTTGAATCTCTGAATAGCCCAATAACAGGATCTGAAATTGTGGCAATAATCAATAGCTTACCAACCAAAAAGAGTCCAGGACCGGATGGATTCACGGCCGAATTCTACCAGAGGTACAAGGAGGAACTGGTACCATTCCTTCTGAAACTATTCCAATCAACAGAAAAAGAGGGAATCCTCCCTAACTCATTTTATGAAGCCAGCATCATTCTGATACCAAAGCCAGGCAGAGACACAACAAAAAAAGAAAATTTTAGATCAATATCCTTGATGAACATTGATGCAAAAATCCTCAATAAAATACTGGCAAAACGAATCCAGCAGCACATCAAAAAGCTTATCCACCATGATCAAGTGGGCTTCATCCCTGGGATGCAAGGCTGGTTCAATATACACAAATCAATAAAGGTAATCCAGCATATAAACAGAGCCAAAGACAAAAACCACATGATTATCTCAATAGATGCAGAAAAAGCCTTTGACAAAATTCAACAATGCTTCATGCTAAAAACTCTCAATAAATTAGGTATTGATGGGACATATTTCAAAATAATAAGAGCTATCTATGACAAACCCACAGCCAATATCATACTGAATGGGCAAAAACTGGAAGCATTCCCTTTGAAAACTGGCACAAGACAGGGATGCCCTCTCTCACCACTCCTATTCAACGTAGTGTTGGAAGTTCTGGCCAGGGCAATTAGGCAGGAGAAGGAAATAAAGGCTATTCAATTAGGAAAAGAGGAAGTCAAATTGTCCCTGTTTGCAGAGGACATGATTGTATATCTAGAAAACCCCATTGTCTCAGCCCAAAATCTCCTTAAGCTGATAAGCAACTTCAGCAAAGTCTCAGGATACAAGATCAATGTACAAAAATCACAGGCATTCTTATACACCAACAACAGACAAACAGAGAGCCAAATCATGAGTGAACTCCCATTCACAATTGCTTCAAAGAGAATAAAATACCTAGGAATCCAACTTACAAGGGATGTTAAGGACCTCTTCAAGGAGAACTACAAACCACTGCTCAAGGAAATAAAAGAGGATACAAACAAATGGAAGAACATTCCATGCTCATGGGTAGGAAGAATCAATATCGTGAAAATGGCCATACTGCCCAAGGTAATTTACAGATTCAATGCCATCCCCATCAAGCTACCAATGACTTTCTTCACAGAATTGGAAAAAACTACTTTAAAGTTCATATGGAACCAAAAAAGAGCCCGCATCGCCACGTCAATCCTAAGCCAGAAGAACAAAGCTGGAGGCATCACAATACCTGACTTCAAACTATACTGCAAGGCTACAGTAACCAAAACAGCATGATACTGGTACCAAAACAGAGATATAGATCAATGGAACAGAACAGAGCCCTCAGAAATAACGTCGCATATATACAGCTATCTGATCTTTGACAAACCTGACAAAAACAAGAAATGGGGAAAGGATTCCCTATTTAATAAATGGTGCTGGGAAAACTGGCTAGCCATATGTAGAAAGCTGAAACTGGATCCCTTCCTTACACCTTATACAAAAATCAATTCAAGATGGATTAAAGACTTAAACGTTAGACCTAAAACCATAAAAACCCTAGAAGAAAACCTAGGCATTACCATTCAGGACATAGGCATGGGCAAGGACTTCATGTCTAAAACACCAAAAGCAATGGCAACAAAAGCCAAAATTGACAAATGGGATCTAATTAAACTAAAGAGCTTCTGCACAGCAAAAGAAACTACCATCAGAGTGAACAGGCAACCTACAAAATGGGAGAAAATTTTTGCAACCTACTCATCTGACAAAGGGCTAATATCCAGAATCTACAATGAACTCAAACAAATTTACAAGAAAAAAACAAACGACCCCATCAAAAAGTGGGCAAAGGACATGAATAGACCCTTCTCAAAAGAAGACATTTATGCAGCCAAAAAACACATGAAAAAATGCTCATCATCACTGGCCATCAGAGAAATGCAAATCAAAACCACAATGAGATACCATCTCACACCAGTTAGAATGGCAATCATTAAAAAGTCAGGAAACAACAGGTGCTGGATAGGATGTGGAGAAATAGGAACACTTTTACACTGTTGGTGGGATTGTAAACTAGTTCAACCATTGTGGAAGTCAGTGTGGCGATTCCTCAGTGATCTAGAACTGGAAATACCATTTGACCCAGCCATCCCATTACTGGGTATATACCCAAAGGACTATAAATCATGCTGCTATAAAGACACATGCACACGTATGTTTATTGCAGCATTATTCACAATAGCAAAGACTTGGAACCAACCCAAATGTCCAACAATGATAGACTGGATTAAGAAAATGTGGCACATATACACCATGGAAAACTATGCAGCCATAAAAAAGGATGAGTTCATGTCCTTTGTAGGGACATGGATGAAATTGGAAATCATCATTCTCAGTAAACTATTGCAAGAAAAAAAAACCAAACACCGCATATTCTCACTCATAGGTGGGAATTGAACAATGAGATCACATGGACACAGGAAGGGGAATATGACACTCTGGGGACTGTTGTTTGGTGGGGGGAGGGGGGGAGGGATAGCATTGGGAGATATACCTAATGCTAGATGATGAGATAGTGAGTGCAGCGCAGGAGCATGGCACATGTATACATATGTAACTAACCTGCACAATGTGCACATGTACCCTAAAACTTAAAGTATAATAATAATTTTAAAAAAAAAGAAAAAAAAAAGAAAGTGTAGAATCTGCCACTTTAGTGCCTATATTGACAATCTGTAACAAACTGCCCCCAAAATTTGGCAGTTTAAAACTATAAATATTTATTGTCTTACAATTTTTGACAGTCAAGTATCTATGTGAATATGGCTTAACCAATAACCCCTGGCTTCAGATATATCACGAAGTTTTTCTCAAGCATTCAGCTGTGGCTGTAATCCTCTTTCAGAGGTCCATTGCAGAAAGGAAGGTCTGCCTCCAGGTTTACTTATGTGGTTTTTGGTGGGACTTGACGTTTCACCACCTGGACCTATCTACAGGGATACCATACAACATTACAGCTGATTTTTTTCCAGGGTGAATAATACAAAAGAAAGAGTGAGAGAGATTATGCCCAAGACAGAAACCACGGTCTTTTTATAACCTAATTTTGGAAATGACATTTTATCATCTCTATCGTATTCTATTCAATAGAAGTTAATCAATAAGTGTAGCCCACACAAGAGGGGAAGGAAATCTATGAGGGCATGGAACAGGGATCACTGGGGGCCGTATGACAGTCTGTGTACCCTAGTGCTTTCCATGTCTCCTCAGGCAAGACTTGGAATAACATTTTACTAAGTCATATTGGGAAATTGTGGATGTAAAATACGAATACAAAAATTATAAATTCTTTTAAATATTATATTCAAGTTCACTGGAAAGTTTATAGAGGTGAGTAAAGATTACTACTGGTGGCCGGGCACGGTGCCTGTAATCACAGAACTTTGGGAGGCCGATGTGGGCAGATCTCGAGGTCAGGAGTTCGAGACCAGCCTGCCCAATATGGTAAAACCCCATCTCTACTAAAAATACAAAAGTTAACAGGGCATGGTGGCGGGTGCCTGTAGTCCCAGCTACTCGGGAGGCTGAGGCAGAAGAATTGCTTGAACCCAGGAGGTGGAGACTGCAGTGAGCCGAGATCGCACCACTCCAGACTGGGCAACAGAGTTACTCCAGCCTGGGCAACAGAGTTAGACTTTCTCTCAAAAACAAAAACAAAAATACTACTGGTAATGTTTACAAAATAATAGTAAAAATAGGAAGTTTTGGAAAATGAGCTATTAAAAAAGTTATATTATTAAAAAGTATTCATTGAGTATAGAAGTCTCCTGGAAGCAACAGGAAGCAACATACTGAGAAGTTTGACATTAATGCTTCTCAAAATGCTGTAAAACCTCAGAAATAATAGCATAGGCATCACAAAGATCCATGATGGATTCACTGGAGAACTGTCAGAGCAAACTTAATGGTCTCTCTTAGACTAGTAGATCATATGTAATATCATGATATCCAGAAAAAAAAAAAGTTTGACAGAGTCTCTCTTCTTTTTCATCCTCTTCTTCCTCCTGCTCTTCCTCCCGTCCTCCTGTCCTCCTCCCCTTTCTTCTTGTAAGATGTTGGAATATGCTATTAAAAATAATATTGTTGATTCCACTGTTGATTAACAATTTACCAGTGACATTAATTACTGACAACCTATAAAACAGGTTCTAATAGAGTGACTAAAATGTTGTGTTAGCAGACATTAATATTATGATAGAAAATCCAGTCAAAAATGTGAATGAACTTGAACAATGAACCAAATCAAAAATTGATTTAATAAAAATACATATAAAATTATTTGGCTTTAAAATAGCAACTTTATTATAGGAATGTGGCTGAAAAAGTAATATGGCATTTTGGTGAGCAAATCTTGTTGCAGTGGCATGGGAACAGAAAAGTATTTGGAAAAATAATGTCATTGAACCATAAGTCAGACACCAGGAAGCACTTCTGGAGGAAAGAGTAAAAATAGTTTAAAATCACATGCTGCAGGGTCTAAAGAAAATTGTCTTTTCTGATGTTACTGCAGAGAACCAGTAAAATTTCCATCTCCAGGAGAAAAACCATTGATGTTAAGGCTGAGTAAGAGACTGATCATGGCATTGATCTAAAACAGTGTTTCTCAAACGGTTTGCTATAAGGACTCCCTTATACTCTTAGAAATAATTGAGGATCCTTAAATGCTTTTGTATATAAGTACTATATCTATTGCTATTAAATGACACAATCTTTTTTAATTTTCTATTTTATCTTAATATAAAAATAAGAAATGGACAAATGTTAACATAAAGAGTTTTTTTTAATAAAAAATGACTATAGTTTTCCAAACCAAAAAAATTGAGAAGATTGGAATTATTTTATAATTTTGCAAGCCTGTTTAATATTGGGATTAATAGAAGATAGTTGTTTTCTGCTGTTTTGCATTTAATCTATCACAGTGTTTTATTTTGGTTTAAACGTGAATAAAGTTCAACCTCAAATACATATTAAAATGTGAAGGGCATTTTAATAGCTTTTCACATAATTAAGGACTTTTTTTGTTACTGTACCAAAACAAGAGAAATAGTACTTTCTTAAAGTTAGTTGCAATGTGGATTCTGAAACTACAACATTGAGCTTTGTGTACTTTATTACATTAAGATCCATTGCTCCATCTTACATTTTGAATGCACCTTTTATGCATAATTGTTCATTGGAAAAATGTAGTTTCACAGAACTATCCATATCCCCCAACTGCTGACATACTTTACTGTTCAAGCTAAAATTTAAATCACATTCATTTTTATCACTTGATCTCATTAGTAAAGCCTCTAAGTATTGGCAAGCTATTAAGCTCATGATGATGACAATGTATTTTCCAAATTTCTAATGTTTTACTTGAAAGCTCGAATTTCATTATTAACCACAAATAGGCCTGGTGGAATGGCTCATCCCCATAATCCCAACAATTTGGGAGGCTGAGGTGGGGAAGATTGCTTGAGGCCAGGGGTTTGAGAACAGCCAGAGAAACAGTGAGACCCCTTTCTACAAAAAATAAAATGAATTAGCCAGGTGTGGTGGCATGTGTTTATAGGCCCAGCTACTTGGGAGGCTGCAGGGAGAGCATTGTTTGAGCCCAGAAGTTCAAGGCGGCAGTGAGCTAAGATCATTCCGCTGCACTTCAACTTGAGCACAGAGCAAGACCCTGTGTCAAAAACAAATCAAAACAAAAACCCTTAAAGAATCACACAAAAATTTATTTTTTTTGGAAAAGTAGATTCATTTAATTCATATTGAAGAAAATGTTTGTCCAATATCCAAAACTTAACAACTGTAGTTTGTCTTTTTATAGTTCTTTCAAGTGTAATGGTATTTCACAAAAAATGTGGCTGGGCCCACTCACAGTTCAAACTGCAAAATACTTTTCCTTCAAACAACCATGGTAATTCAGGTCTGAGCAGAAGGGTTTTTATGTGTACGTTCTATTTTATCACATAAAATATTGAAAACAATTGCACCAGATGACTGATATCTAATGAAATAAGTAATTTTTATTGCTTCATCAAAGATATTCTCAAGTGAAACTGGATTTTTTTTTAATTTCAAATTTGCTACTGTGAAGAATTCAATGATTACTGGCACAGTTAGGTTTTTTAATTCATGCTTAAGTACCCAGAGCTTTATATTTTGTTCCTTTACAACCATCAGTGTAAATGTCATCACAGTCAAAAAGGCTAATCATGTCTTAATATTACAGGAAAATTGTTCTACCTTCATGGATACCCTGGAACAGTTTTGAGGACACATTAGTGTCTGCAGACTACCCTTTGAGAAACACTAATTCTTACTTAAAAATTGTCAAGACTTGATGACTAATCTTGTTATTGCAATGTTGAAAACAGTACTTTTTATTAGCATAGCCAATCAGAAAAAAACCCAGAGCGACTTTTGAGACCTGGTTTCTAATTTACTTTTATATTGGAAACAGACGTAGCAAACTTAAACTTTTACAAAACAAGTGTAAAACATCAAATTGGTCCAATTTAACTTTTTATGGTTTAGGAATTATCATAGAATCAGTGCCAATTTAGGACTGCTGTAAGCATGGAATTCTTGTTTGAATAGTTGAGGAAATCGGAGCAAGTGTCTTGACTCTATAATGATTGCATGTGTACCTTATCTTTATTATACATTCAAGGGGAATAATCTAGAAAGCTTCAGACCAAAGCTATTTATCTTAATATACATGAGTACTTTATCCAACTTCTGGTAAGTTTTTTCAATTTATAGTGGAGAATGAATTTATAGATAAAATCTCTAGACCCATAAGTATTTTTATTGGTGTTGGTCTTTATTCTGATTTAGTGGACTCTGGGGAGACCACAAAAATTGTTTAATATGCCACAGTTCCTATAGGATGAGATTTTGTTCTATTGACTGGAATATAAATTAGTTCATTTGAGCCATGGAGCCTCCACCTATAGTACAATACATCTAAATCCCCATCTTAATGTAAGCTATTTTTATTTATAGGTAAGAAAAAGTGTATTTTTCTTTATATCATGTTTCATGTATTTCCTTAAAATTCTCTTCATTCTCTACATTTAAAAATTAGTAGCCATCTAATTTAAACCATCATTTCGTAAGCACTTTTTCTTAGTTCTTCTACATATAGCCAATCAGTATTTTGATGTTAATATATCGTTTATATAATTTAGATGTAAATCAGTAGCAAATCGTCACTCAAATATGGAGTAGATAAGTCTATAGTTTGTCTGAAATTATATCACAAGAGAATACATGAAATAAATGACTAGAATTCTCCATGGAGGAAACTAAAAGGAAATAGAGTTTTATTTTTGAGAAAAAGAAATATTTTAGATTCTGTGCTGTTACAGAGATCATGTATGAATGAAATCAATGGTGGAAATTAAAAGATTCAGATTGGATTCCTCTGGTAGACATTATAATAATAAATATATGTGTAAACCTTGTAATCATGTTACATTTTAAAAACCACTTTATATGTCCTTTATGTGTATTAACTCATTTAATTCTGACAACAAGTCTACAAGTTGACTATTTTATATCTCTCTGTTTTTCATATGAGGGCATGGAGACATAGAATTTGTAATTGTCCAGTAAGTCATTGCTAAAAAATTGTTAAGACTTCAGGCCCCAGAGTCTACGCTATTTTTGGATTTTAAAAAAAATTGTCTAGAAGTGGCAATGAAACACTGAAAGAATACTAATGGAATTACTTCTTTGTCCAGAGGTACATAAAGTATGGAAGAATGAATACCCTCCTCCTCTTAAGAAAGCTTCAGAGGGGGAAAAGGACAAGTGTTAGCCTCAGGCAAGGACAGGGAGGAAGAATTCTGTGAAAAGTTGCAGGTTAAAGGAGGATCTCTTTTTAATGGACAGCGGTTTCAGACATTGTTGTGGAAATGATTGAGAAGAAGCACAGCACAGCGCAGGTATAAGAATGTCAGTTATGTAAGATGTACAAGGATGTGAAGCATGGGGCTATTAACTGGCCCCGAACTGACAGGTCGAGTGGAGATTGTTGACACCGAGCGGTGTACTGCATCCATCTAAGATTTTAAGTATAATATGGAAAAGCTGTATTGTTGAACCTGAAAGGTTCTTCCTCTTGTAACTGAGAAATATATCTCTTAGATAAAGCAACAATGGCTAATACACAGCTGGCATATTCCATTTCTAACTTTTTATTTATTTGCTTATTTCATATAATTATATTAATCCTTTAAAGCCCTGCCTTATGTTTCTTTTTTAATTACATGGAAAATTAAAGATAATTACAGTTATACAATTATTACACATATACTCACTATTCAAAAGTAGAAACAATATATTTATTTCAGACCATTCTGTCCTTCTAATAATTTATAGGTAATAATTTATAGGTAAAGCTGTAAATTATATAAAGAGTAATAATTTATAGGTAAAGCTGTAGCCCTCTATGTTCCTCTTCATCTCAGGTTTTTTCTTTTATATCCCGAGTGAGAGCCACTATTATTATATTCGATGTAAACCCAAACTATATGTCCAATACTTTAACCCCAAATGAATACTATATACTTCATTTATCAGAAAAGCACTAAGTAGTTCCTTAAAATTTCTATCTATCTTGTGTACATATTTATTTCATATATAGAAAACATAATAAAATAAATATTATAATAAACAATAGTTTAAAGCTGTTCAGTGAAATAAAAGAGTTCTAGAGAGAAAATTATAAGGTATTACTGAAAGTTATAATTAATATTTGAATAAATGAAGAGATGTTCATGTTTTTGAGTGTTAAGGCTCAATTTGGAAATGTTAAATTCTCCAAATTAAAATATACAGATAATACAGTTATATTTAAAAATCCAAGTAGTTTTTTGATGGGAGAAATCTTGAGGAATTGATTCTACAATTCTTCCAAAAGTGTAAAAATTTAGGATTGTCTAAGACAGTTCTGTAAAGGAAAACAAACAGGAGTTGTATGTTTTTACCGTAAATCATTGAGTATGGGTTATTTTCTACTTTGTTAAACATTGCTCATGTTTTCCAAATGTATGGGTTCTTGGTAAATTGAAAAAAATAAATGAAGAAAGGATAGACTATTCAGCAAATTGCATTGAAGCAACTGCCTTCTGGAAAGAGAAAAAAGTAGGTTGCTATCTCTTTTTTTTTTTTTTTTTTTTTTTTTTTTGGGACAGAGTCTTGCTCTGTCACCCAGCCTGGAGTGCAGTGGCCCAATCTTGGCTCACTGCAACCTCTGCCTCCTGGGCTCAAGTGATTCTCGTGCTCCAGCCTCCGAGTAGCTGGGGATACAGGCATGCACCACCAAGACCAGCTAATTTTTGTATTTTTAGTAGTAACGGGGTTTCACCAGGTTGGCCAGGCTGGTCTCGAACTTCTGAGCTCAAGTGATCTGCCTGCCTTGACCTCCCAAAGTGCTGGGATTACAGGCATGAGCCATAACGCCTGGCCGGGAAAACAATTTTAAAGTTAAGAAAACCAGTTATTAATTCATAAGGGATCTCCTGTGTGCTTTTTCACAGTACACATCGTATGTAATAGATTATGTAGAGTTTTTGCATAGATTTTTTTAGATTCTTGCTTGTAAAGCAAGATTAGAAATTTTATAAATGGATAAATTTCTACATAACTATTATCAAACTATCATGCCAAAAAAAAAAGTCAAAATTAGAATGCTAGTAAAAAACATAGAGACACTTTGGTGAAGAGTGGGAAATGAAACCACTAAAAGGTCTTTTTTAAGGGTCGTTTAGTTCCTTGTAAATTACTGTTAATTTTTGACTCTACTTTCTAAGCCCATGATATCTTTGGAATATCTATAGAAATATGATATTCATAATAAGGGGGATAAACTGGTTTCATTAAGCAAGATTATTCCTTTATTTGTCCTGGTCATGCAACTTTTCTGTTCATCGTTGATTAAATATGACATTGTGGTTTCTTGTTAAAAACAGTTTCCTTGGAACAGCAACTAAAAGGCTTTTGAAATTTCTCATTTAGTTCTGTTTTTATATCATATATGGCCCTTCAAATGCAGTTCATGCTTTTTGTTCCAGAAAAAAAAAGAAAAATAAATAAATCATAAAAATAAAGGTGAGAAATATGTTCACACTTGTCTTTCAGGACATAAAGCTCTATAATACTGGGAACTGCCATGTTCACTAAACTGTTTACAGTCTTCCCTTCCTTTAATATCAAACCCATCAACTGCATTAAACATGAATTTTTCCCTACATACCTTAATACCGCTTAGCACCCTAAAATATATAACAGAAATCCATAGTTATCCCCAAAATAGGCTTTATTTTCCACATTTTTTTCTATAATTTTTCCACAAAGCCACATCAAGTGAAAACAATAAAATTCTTAACATAGGCAAGTGCTGTTCTTCAATTAATGTAAGATATGAATAAAATAAATTTTATGAAACTTTTACTATTTACTAATAGTGAGATTGTTATGCAAGTGATACTTGAATATAAGTCACCTAGTTTCTAATCCTAGGTGATCTTCAAAGATTGGTTTCCAGACCAGCAGCATCCGCATCACCTAGAAACTTGTCAGAAAAGCAAATTACTGCCCAGACCTACTGAATTAGAACTTCTGGGAATGAGGTCCAGGATTCTATGTTTTAATAACTTTCCTAGTGATTCTGATGTAAGGTAAAATTTGAAAGCAACAGCTTCTAATATCACAAGCATAGAAATTCTCAAACCTTTCTTAAGACTGATCACATGGGAAGTTATCTGGTTTTGTCATATAGAATTCATATTTCTTTTTATTTTGTGTGATCAATTACAGTTATTAACCACAGTAGAATTTTGTGCTTAGTATTTAATTTTGGAGTACACTAAAGTAGGAACTTTAACATCAGGAGACAAAGGAAAGGTTATTTTTGTTTTAAACTCCTGTGATAGTAAATCCCAGAGAAAGAGACATTTTGATGGCTAAAAAAATCATGAATTTGTACTAAAAGGCATCACCTTAAAAGTCTTGAACAATATGGGAATTTTAAATCATAAATATTTAATATTTTTATTCAGTTGCCTATCTCTTTCTGCCTAGCTTGTTGCCTCTGAATGTAGGAGAGAATATATCTCTTAAAAGCCAATGTTAATGATGGCTACTGCTCTCTGGTGATTGATTGATGCACTTAGCTTGAAAAGTCTATAATCTTGCAAATATTGCTACAGAGAGGTTGAATTTAAATATGATAATGTTTTTGTTTTGTTTTGTTTTCGAACATGCTAATACTTTCTTTAAGGAGAACAAAACAATTAACTTTAGCCACCGATTTAAAAAATTATCCATCTAATCTGATTTGAGACTCGCTAGGTATTTTTAAATTATGTTTTAGCATACTGTTTTCATCAACTAACTGCATTCTTTTATAAGTTAGTTGAGACTTTTAGGCCTTACTCTTTTTAAATATCAGAGTTTCTACTGTGTTTTTAATGGTTTTTAACATTAGATTTTAATTTCTAATTAGAGAAATGATTATTGCAATCAATTTCACTGTTATCACAATAATGGCAATGTCACCCAAATGGATTCATTTTAGTAAGATAAATAACTTTGTTAAAAATATTTTTCATAATTCAATAAACAAGTACAGTTAATATTAAGTAATAAATAACAAAAAAATGGTGATCAAAGACAATGAAATCCACTTATATCTGTGAATTAAATAATGATGAAAGCTCAAACTGTGGCAATAGAGAACCACAGAGAACATAGAAATCTCATAATACTACTCGTAAATAACCCATGGAAAACATGTGTTTTCCCTTGATACATTAAGGTCTTGTTTTATTTTTAAATATTTCAGTGGTAGAATGAAAGAGTGAGATAGGGAAAGCAGAGAGGAAAAGAGGTGAGATGAAAAAGAGAGTGACTGTATGGAAGAATTAAATTTTACACTTAGAGTGTCTCAATATAAGATTTTCCAGTGAAGAATCTAAATTATATAAATTAATCAATTTCTAAAAGTAAAATATCCCCAAGCTACAGTAGAAGAGTGTCTCAATAAATATGTCAATGCTATGTGGATTTTCTCTGTCCTGTGGGATTTGACTGAGTAAATTAAAGGCTCACAGTACATGTGTTGTCAGAATCAAAACGTCTATTGTGGTAAAATATTTTTCACCAATTGTTCCAAATGTATCTGGAAGTAGTGATGGCAATTGACTGTGGTCACTGAAAAGTATAATTTCACCAAAGAAAAAGAACAAAAAAACCTGAATAGGACAAATGTTAGACTGGTCTCAGGGACAAGAAATTAACTCTTGTACAATGATTGTATTAATAAAATGAGGTTTCAGTTACTTAAGAGGTTTTTAAAAGATCATTTTCTTGGCTCTTAACTTAAAAATAGGCTTTTTATGTGTACTCAAATTTCTTTGTTTCTTTTTTGTATATATGACTTTTTTAAAAGGCATCTGTTTCAAACTTCCGAAGAATGTAAGATATCTTAGTTAACAATGGCAAGAAATACTACGTTCATACAATCTAGAACAATACTTTGCACAAAAAGTGCTCTAGTTATTATTTGTAGAATAGAAATATTTGAAGAATTGAGACCAATACATTTGTTGAATGATTTATATAAATAGTTACTAAGTATATAAATATGTCTTTCCTTAGAATGAACTCATCTAAAAGAGATTTAAAAATGTCAGAATAAAGAAGACAATCTACCAGCACCAAATAGAGTCTAGTTGAGTGTGTGCATGAAAATATTGTTAAGGTTGTCTTCATCAATTCATTCAACAGATATTCCCCTGCAAATGTGGAATAGATGGCAGGAAGAATCTCTTATTCCTCAGTTAGATTATAAGCCAAATGGAGGGAAAAGTAAAGGAGAACCGAAAAATACACTTCATCCTTCAGATGGGAGATTATTTAAAAAATTTTTCACATATCCCTAAACTCATTGCAAATTTTTGTTGGAAAGAATCATATATAGCCCAAGGTTATTGTAACGATGAATACAAATTGGGGGTGAGGAGGGGAATTTTCTGGTAATTATGGGAGACTCCTCTATCTTCCTCTTTTCTTTCAAATCATTTTATTAAAAAATACTTGCAATTTCAAATCCTTTCTCTGTCCCTTTGAGATGCACATAAATATTTTAAAAACCTAAATAAGCTTGTTGCTAGCTGTACAGACCAAGAATGTCTTTTTAAAGGACCTGGGCACCATTTCTGAAATGTAATCATCAAGAAAAGTGGTGCTATCTCCCATTTTTTGTGGAAGAATAGGACCTAACTCAAAAGAGTTCCTTGCTTCAAAACAACTTCCTAACATAAAATCATGAGAAATTTTTTTACTTTGAAGAAAACCATTTAGCTAACAGAAATGGTCATCCCACTTACCAGATGAATTTATGATGAGCTATGTGTGATAAATAGTGTTGTCAAGTCCTCTTATTTGATGATTAGTTATCATTTATTCTGAGACCATGTATGCAATGGCTTGAATCTGCTTAGCTACATAGAAGAGTGAGTTTTTTTTGTTTGTTTCTTTATAATCTCCTAGCAGATTGCCTGTGATACACACCATATTCTGCTTTAATGCTTCTTCAATTAAAACGAAAAAGAAAAGAAAAATTGTCTTTTTCTTCTACCTTTGTGGAGCAGTTTTCTAGGCTGAGAGGAAATTTTATTTTTCAACTATATTCCCTCAATAGTGTGTAACATACACGTTCTCTTAAATTGGCTAAATATATATTCCTTTTTATGTTTTATTTTTATTTTTTAGAAATTGATACAGGTATTTTGTTGCTTGAAAGTTTAGCTTGGAAACAATTTATTTTTTCTTTTGCCCTATACAAATGAAGACTTTTACTTCTTTTCTCCCTTAAAAGACCATATCATATTTGCTCCAGTACTTCCAGCAAGGAAATTGTACACGTTTGAGATGACTGTTGTAACTTACCCTTCTGCCTGGTCACAGGAAATGGTGTCATTTCTTAAAAAGGTAAGAAGGAAGACTGCATGTCAAAAGGAAGTAACAAAAAGAAGCAGGCTCTCTGGTTTAGATTTAGAAGCTAGTACACAATATTAGGTACAGTCATGATAATGTACATTTCTAGAGTGTATTTTTTATTTTTATTTTATATATATATATATATTATTATACTTTAAGTTCTAGGGTACATGTGCATAACGTGCAGGTTTGTTACATATGTATACATGTGCCATGTTGGTGTGCTGCACCCATTAACTCGTCATTTACATTAGGTATGTCTCCTAATGCTATCCCTCCCCTCTCCCCCAACGCCACAACAGGCCCCAGTGTGTGATGTTCCCCTTCCTGTGTCCAGGTGTTCTCATTGTTCAATTCCCACCTATGAGTGAGAACTTGCAGTGTTTGGTTTTTTGTCCTTGCAATGGTTTGCTGAGAATGATGGTTTTCAGCTTCATCCATGTCCCTACAAAGGACATGAGCTCATCATCTTTTACGGCTACGTAGTATTCCATGGTGTATATGTGCCACATTTTCTTAATCCAGTCTATCGTTGATGGATGTTTGGGTTGGTTCCAAGTCTTTGCTATTGTGAATAGTGCTGCAATAAATATATTCTTAATATAAACAAAGCAGGAGACCAATATTTAAAGAAAAACATTTTATCCTACACAAAATTCTATTTGCACGATTTTCTGTATTCACATTTGATCTTTTTGTTTAATACGAAATTTAACTGGACTTCAAGGATGAAAAACAAAACAGCAATAAATTGCAGAACTTCTGTCCAGGATAGTGTGCTTAGAGAAAAAAAATGTGGTGGAAACAAAACCAGCATTTAGATTGTGAAACAATGATGAAATGCCTAAAAGATAATGGAAAAATTCATAAATACAAACAACAATGGTTTAGAACCATAAGGTACAACAGACTACTCAGTTTGCTGGAATTTTTGAAACTTACTCTAGAAGAAAAAACAAACTCATACATATAAAATAAAGATATAGGGACTGAAGGATAATAGAATAGCAAGTTAAAACAATAATGGAGGTATAAATAGGATAAAATGGCTGAATTGAGCAGCAACCTTTCTGAAAGTATTAAGTTTGTTTAAAAATATATGAAAAAGTATAGTTGGTTTTAGAGTGGAAAAGGTTGTATATGATTAAGACTAAATCAATAAACACTGACATTCAGTTGTTTATGATAAAAATTATTACACATTCTATGCATGTTCTTCTTTAATATATTATCAAACATGAATTGTATTTTAGAAGTATATAATATATTTAATTAAATATCTATTATCAAACATTAAATAATAGCTTGATGTATTTATCAAGGCATTGGAAAAGCTAATTGTAAAAAAATATAAAATATGAAACAATAAAATATACTTCATTTTAACAAATATTTCTTGAATACCTTGTATATGAGAGACACTATAGAAGATACAAAGATAATGTAACCCCTGCCTTTGAATATAATATTCTCTATAAAATAGGTATCAATCAGGTATTCAATCAGAATTTATTAATTGCTTATGGTATAAAAATAACTAAAATTTTCCAAAATCATATATGATGGCAAGATTTAAGTCTTTGATCCATCTTGAGTTAGTTTTTGTATAAGATGAGAGATAGGGATCCACTTTCATTCTTCTACATGTGACTAGCCAATTTTCCCAGCACCGTTTATTAGAGTGTCCTTTCCCCAGTGTATGTTTTTGTATGCTTTGTTGAAGATCAGCTGGTTATAATTATTTGGCTTTATTTCTGGGCTCTCTATTCTGTTCCATTGGTTTATGTGTCTATTTTTATGTAAGGAGCATGCTGTTTTTGTATCTATATAGTCTTATAGTATAACTTGAAGTCCAGTAATGTGATGTGATACTTCCATGTTCATTCTTTTTGCTTAGGATTGCCTTGGCTATTCAGGCTCTTTTTGGTTACATATTAATTTTAGGATTATTTTTTATAATTCTGTGATTAACAATGTTGGTATTTTGATGGCAATTGCATTGAATTTGTAGATTGCTTTGGTCAGTATGATCTGTTTCACAACATTGATTCTTCCAATCTATGAGCATAGAATGTGTTTCCACTTGTTTGTGTCATCCCTGACTTCTTTCAGCAGTGTTTTGTAATTTTCCTTGTAGAGATCTTTTACCTCCTTGGTTATGTATATTCCTAGATATTTTACTGTTTTTCTTCAGCTATTCTAAAGGGGATTGAGTTCTTGATTTAATTCTCAGCTTGGTCATTACGATAACAGTGCTAATAACTTGCAAACATTGATTTTGTAATCTGAAACTTTACTGAATTCATTGATCAAATCTAGGAGTCTTTTGGAGGAGTATTTAGGATTCTCTAGGTATGCAATCATATCATCAACAAACACTGATAGTTTGACTTTCTGTTTTCCAACTTGAATTTACTTTACTTCCTTCTCTTGCCTGACTGCTCTGGCTAGGACTTCCAGTTCTATGTTGAATGCAAGTCATGAAAGTGAGCATACTTGTCTTTTTTTTAGTTCTCTAGGGAATATTTTCAACTTTTCACCATTCAGTATGATTTGGCTGTGAGTTGCTTCTCATACATGGCTTTTATTATTTTGAGGTATAATCTTTATTTTCTTTTGTTTCTTGTTTTTTATTTTTTAAGAGATGAAGTCTTGCCATGTTGTCCAGGCTGGTCTCAAACTCCTGGGCTCAGCCAATCCACACACCTTGGCTTCCCAAAGTGCTAGGATTATAGGCATGAGCCACTGCACCCAACCTAGTTTTGATCTTTCTATGCCTACTTTGTTGAGATTTTTTTTTTATCATGAAGGGGTGTTGAATTTTATTAAATTCTTTTTCTATCTCTATTGAGTGGATACAGGCACTGCATCTTACCACATCAAAAAGGAACAACTGAGGAAGCTAAAACACTGAGTTTTGTGTCTCCCCCCTTCCCCCCAAAAAAACCCAGGTGTTTTGAAACTTTATTATTTGCTTCAGGGAATTCTGGTATTTCATCTGCCCCTGTTAACAGAATATAAAGTTCTAAAGAGATTAATCTGGCCTACTTTTTCTTTTAGCTCACTTTATTATTTACCTTCCTAAATTCAATTATTTAGGGAGAAACCTGTGACAGACATTGAACATTTTTAGAGAAGAATAAATTGAAATTCGAGTTAGATGGACAACACTCTTCTCTTTTTAAGCCAAGTACTCATAATAACATTTTTGTGGAAGCAAATTAAGACAGAAACTTATCAGTTTAAATAAATAATTTATTCTAGGTTTGTTCTATATATGGATCAAACTCTAGCAATTAATTGCTTTTGCTAGGAAAGTGGTGCTACAGACTCAATTTGAAGGCCACCCCTTCCAAGAGGTCTTTGTTCTCTTAGGAAAAAAGTGTAACGATTGTAGTTTTAGGAAGTCTTGGATGAAAATTAGTCTCTAACCCTTTCTACTTATTTGAATAAGACAATCAATCTCCCAAAGTTCAGTTACTCTGTCTAAAACAGTGGGAATATTATTACATAATACTTACAGAAATTGTAAGGAAAATTGAATGCCGTAATATTTTTAAAAGGAAGCACAGAGCAGGCACACAGTAGCTGCTTAATAAATGCTAGTTCTCTAGTCTGGTAAATGAAACTATCTGGAGGATGTGCTATTATACATATGCTATTTTATTTATAAACCACAAACTCAAACTTACTATTTTGGCATCTATGGAATACATATCTACAAAGGAAGTAACCATACGATAGTATAAAATGATAGAACAAAAGTGTCTTTGGAATTGTTGATTATGAAATAACATCCCTTCAGAATTTTATTACAATTAGGTTAATTGGTTACTTATTATTTTATATGGATTGTTTAAAAACAAAAATACAAACAGCAAACAAAATATATTGTTCATTTTCCAAAAGATTTTATAAATTTTCTGGAATTTTGCTAGATTTTTGTTCCTGGAATTATAATTTTAACAAGAACGATTATTAAAGACACTCCTGTTTATTAAACTAATGGTGAATTAATACTGACCCATGTTCATATCCAGTCCAATATTATGTCTCATTTCTTATCTCTATGATGTGTTAACCTAAAATATAGAACTGCATTTCCTACCTCTGTGGAGATATTATCAACATAATTACAATCCATATATTTTATGTGAGAATTGTTTGAGCACTCTATTACAACAAGTTCAAAGAGGCGTTTTTCTGAACCAATTGGTTTTTATCTCTAGTCTCCATGAGACCCACAAATTCTTTAGCTACTCTACGATTACTTTCTTAAGGAAAGGTAATAAGGGTTTAGCAGTGTACTTATTTGGCAGTTACACACAACACTGTGAAATAAATCTTCCAATATGTTGAGTTAAAGAATCCTGCAGTATAATGCTCCCCTTTAAAGTATTGTAATCAAAAATTTCTAGAGCAATTCTAACCAAACTCAACCACAGTACCCTTCACTCTCAAAAACACTAAAAACACCTACATCACCACAGGGCATTGAACATAAACTTAGATTTAGTATATTCCACTTCAATAACTCCTATATGAACTACCTTTCAAGAGGAAATGTAGAAATCATTTGTAGTTTTAACAACTGACTAGTTATTGTAGCTATGGAGCAGAAAGAATCCTTAGCATTTATCAACTTGACTTTTATATTCAAAACATTTAACAAAGAGTTTTGCTGTCATGAAGAAAAAAATATTCTATGCAGCTGAATTCTGAGCCTTCTTCTTCTTTCTGTATACCAGTAACAATAAATGTCTAGATTTGTTTTCTCTTGTATCCATTTCCTCATGTTGTCTCTGTAGCTCTGATAATAGACATCTATTTTAAAATGAGTACTCAGTGCACTTTGACATAATTGAGCACTAATCTGATGGGAAGCATTAGGTGTTCTGGTTAAAGACACAATCACATGGAGTTGTTATGAACTGGGTAAAAGCAAAGTCTGAAAATTTACATTTAGTTCTCTCCATCTCTCTTTATACATCCTTCCATTTGTATAGAGAGATATAGAGGTGTTTGATAGCCTTCATTTAAAATGTTTTAAAATAGTTTATTAAACCTTCCTGAAGTAGTCAGGGTTTTGTATAGAAAAATCCCCATGAATTTAGATGGTCTGGTAAGGTAAAAAAGAGAAGTCATATGTTATTTTAACAAACTTATATAAAAATTATGTACAACTAGTTTTCAGTTATGGATAGTAGATTAATTTTATGATTTTCCATACCTTTCTGTTTTTTAAAAAATCTTAAAGAAATAACTAGTAATTATGGAGCTTGATTTGTTAGTTACCTTTTAGGACAATTGATGCTATGAGTTTTTTTTGCTTATTTGTGTTTTGTTTTTGGTTATCTTCAAGACCAACATATATTATACATTTGTTTCTTTTGCTTTTCCAAAGATTGATATATCTCTTATAATAAAGTTTTAGAAAAATAATCTTTCAGTATGTTTTTAGGGAGCAACCTAAGACATTGTCTGTGAAAAGTCTTACTTTGACACAAATAATCACTCACACTACAGGTTTGCTGAGAGGCATTGGGATCTTGTACTCCTTTAACTTAAAAAAATCATATATTGGAGGAACTCTGAAGTATTCTGCTCTTATATAATTATATGTAATAAAATAGATATGCTTAAAGAAGATAACTTGCTGTGAGAGGACCCAGGATGTAGGCATAAGTTGGATCTAATTTTGGCGACATAAATTTAGCCAAACCTTTGAAGAATGCAGCTTCAGTTTTTTGATTTTTTGTTTTCTCCAGTTACAAAACAACTGAGATGTACTTGTTTTTTAAATCATTTCCAAATGATCATTCTGAGTTTCTGTAATTTATATTTTTTGAAATTATGATTCAATCATTTATATCTGACAATAATCATGGCAAGATTTAGGTAATCTTCTCTAACTTGAGGTTGCCTAGATAATTTAATGATTTTCAAATTTCCAAGGTATTTTATCATTTACCCACATTAAGGATGGTCTCCTTTTCTAAACATGGCAGTTTTTAAACCTTTGTTAAAAATCACATTGAGATAGAGATTTCAGGAGTTGAAGAAAAAGAAAATGGTCAGAGTTTTACATTCCTTTTAAGTCCCTATGTGTTCAATTATGAAACAACACAAAGATAACTTGAGATCCTATGAATTAAACTCAAAGTTATCCTTTTACATTCATATGAATTAAAAATTCAAACAACTCAAAGATAACAAGACATTCTTTGTTCAGAATTGGCATTGTTTGCAGCTATTAAAGACAAATGAAGGTCCACTTTCAGCACATCTCTGGATATCCACAGAAAATTTCTGGCCTACAGCTATTTCAAAAGAGAAAATGTTCTAAGTAAAATTTTTAAAATAATGTTTCCTAGTTTCAGACCCATGGTAAAATTTATAATTTCTACTCATTGCAATCATATGAGACTCCTGGCTATGCCAAAGGCTAATTAAAGGTAGCCTAAAGATCTCTCCAAGTAGGGTAAGAGATCATATAAACAAATTAAAGTTGGAATGTCACTCATTAATTTTCATCGCAAACAATTAAGATAGTTTATTACACATTATGGATTTGATCTACCTTGATTAAAAATTCTTGTTATAGTATTAATTTTCTTTATTTCGATGTTTTTTTCCATTGAATAACTTCAATATTTACATCTTCTCTTTAACTTCAATATTCACATCTACCTGTTAGGATGGTGTTGAAATAAAATAATTGTTTGCCAGGTGCAGTGGCTTATGCCTGAAATCCCAGCACTCTGGGAGGCCAAAGTCGGGGGATCATTTGAGTTTAGGAGTTCAAAGCCAGCCTGACCACCATGGCGAAACCCCGTCTCTAATAAAAAATATATATATAAATATTAGCCAAGTATGGTGGTGGACACCTATAATCCCAGCTACTCAGGAGGCTGAGGCAGGAGAGTCAGTGGAACCCAGAGGTTGCAGTGAGATTGCCCCACTGCACACCAGCGTGGGCACAGAGCAAGACTCCTTCTCAAAAAAAAAAAAAAGAAAATTGTCACAGTAGAATTTAATATATAGAAAAAATACCATTTAACAGTAAAGATGAACTAAAACTCAAAACCAAATTTGTCAATAGCAGTCCTATGCAAAAAGAAGTGCTAAAGGGAAATCACTAGGCAAAAATAAATGATTCTATAGAGAAACCTAAAAATGCAATAAATAACAGAAATACAATTATTTACTTTTTAAGATGATTTTAGTAATTGTGAACTTTCATATATGTTTAATATTAAATATATGAAGAAAATAAAAAGTCAGGAAGTGGTAGATGGAATTAAAATTTTGAAGACTATAATATTGCCTAAAATTATAAAATATTAATTTATATTTAACAGTGATTATTCAATAATAATGTAATCTCCATGTATTCTCTAAGTGAACAATAAAAGGATGTATTTAAAAAAGCTAATAGGGAAGGTTATAAAAATGTACTTTATTAATTTGTGAGAAAAAATAGAGTACAGAAAAGTAATTTAAAACAGTTTTGAGGAATATAAAACAAAGGAAAAATGGTAGCTTTTACCACAACAATCAGTAACTGAATTAAATGTAGTAACAATCAAATACAAATTTAGTTAGACTAGTTTAAAAAACAATAAAAAACTGCAGATGAAATATATAGAAAGACATAGAAAAATGAAAATAAAGTATACCATGAAAACACTGATTAAAATACAGCTGTTGTAGCTATTAATTACAGGAAAGTAAACTTTAAGGCAAATAGAATTACTAAAGATAGAGAGGGATATTTAATGATGGTAAAAATATAAATCCTTCAAGAAGGATTCTAATTATGAACACTGAGTAGCATAGCTTAAAAAGACATAAAGCAAAGCTTGACAGAACAAAAGAAGAAAAAGGCAGTCCAAAACCTTAGTGGAAGCTATTTTCACAGCATTCACATTTCACTGTTAACACAACTGGTAGACAAGTAGAAGATCTGATTAACACAGTGAACAAATCAGGCCAAATTTGGATACTCAGAACACTGCATTTTGTACCTATAGAACATATATTACTTTCAATTTATTGTATACTTACCAAAATTGACCATATGTAGATTTAAGTGGATTTATTTTAAAATCAACATCAACAACAATAATAAAGGGTAACTAAACATGCATGAAATGTTTGAAATTAAACAATAAACTTTTAAAAACCCATGACTGAATGATGTATTTTCAGTACAAATTACCACATAATTTTGATTAAATGATGATAAAATTACAATACATCTAAACTTAAGAAATTGAATTTAACTGTACATATTAGGAGATTTGTAAGTTTAAATGAAACTTTAAGAGAAAAAAGCTTGAAATAAATGATATATAAGTACATTATAAGAAGTTGGGGGAAAAAGCCAATTAATGCCAAAAGAAATGGACGAAAAAATAATAAGAAAAAAATTAACAAAATAGAAACAAAACAAAATTAGAGGGAAACAACAAAAGCAAAAGTTATTTTTCTCTAACAAGACTGTTAAAATTAATAAGAGTTTGGTAACACTGGTCAGGGGGATGAAACTAATAAAAAAAGACATTCCTACAATGCTACAGACATTAGTCAGATAAAATACTATTTTGAACAAATAAATATAATTAAAATAGAAATTTAAACAAAATTTATCAAAAAGGTAAAATAAAATAGAACAAAATTATCTATTTAAATAAGTTAATATGTAATTTATTAACCTGAATATCTTAAAGTTATTTTTTCCTCATATTCAAGAAAGAAATAACACTAGACTTATGCAGACCTTTCCAGAATATAGAAAAAGAGGAAATGTATTCTAATTTATCTTATGAACTCAATGTAAATTTGAAATCAACACCTGAAAAAACATTAGAGAAAAAGAAAATGATGGGCCCATCTATCTTTTAAACATAGATGCAAAAATTGTAAAAAACATTTTATCAAGTCCAGTGTTATACAGAATGGATAATAGTTCATGACTAAACAGGATTATTCCAAGTATATAATAATAGCCTAATATTCAAAACCCTATAAATTTACCATGTTAACAGAAAGAAAAGGAGAAAAGATTATTAGAACATCTTGTTAGATGTACTAAAGCATTTGACAAAAAATTCAAAGTTAATTCATGATGAAAATTCTTAGCACAATGTAGGATTAGAAGAGGGCATCTTTAATTTTAGAACAATATCTACTAGAAAAAAACTATAGCAAACACCATATTTAGTGATATTTTACTAAATTTTCTTTTTACATAGATATGTGTTAGTTATCAACATTTTTCAACACTGTATTAGAGGCCCTAACCAATACAATAAGACAAGAAGGAAAAAAATTAATAATTTGAATAAAAAAACTCATTATTTACAGATAATGTGTTTGTGGATAGAGACAATCCAAAAGAATCTTCAAAATAAACATTACAATTCATAAGTGAATTTAAATAAATTTAGCAAACAGGTTTTAATAAGAGATCAATGTATAAAATTAATTTTTTTATATGATAATAAACAAAAATAAAATAAATTACAAATAAAATAATATTTACAATAGCATACAAATTAAATACCAAGGAAAAACTTCTAACAAAAAATGTGGAAAACTTCCACACTAAAAACCACAAACATATTTTAAGATAAATTACAGACCTAAATTAAATAGAAGTATATACCATGATCATGAATTGGCAAGATCAATATTATAAAAATATTAATTATTCTTAGGAAGAAGATCAATAAAGTCTTCCCTTAAAATGATGTAGTATAAATTAGAGAAGACAGATGAAATTTAATAGAGCTTAAGCAAGAGAAAAAAGCAAAATTAATTCAGCTAGATTGGAGAATGATTGGCCAAAAACAGTTTTTGGAAAAGGGAACATTTGTAATTGTAGTTTAATAAAAGTTTTTTGAGCAATGTGTGTCCAGCCACATGGGTGTTAAAGTCATGAGACTACCAAGAAGGATGGGGGCGAATAAAGGTAGGTGCTAATATTATACAACACTTTCAATGGAATAATTTTTATGTCTTCAAGGTCTCTCACAGTCCCCTCTACTGTTCAACAGCTTGCTGGGTATTATAATTTGATCACATTTAGATTTGTTCAGAATTCTAGATTGATACCACTCATATTAATTATGGTCACAGATTCACTGGTTATTGTAGACATCAGGGCTTCTTGTAACTTTTGTCTTTGTAGTTGAATTTAAATTATCTGACCAATGAGTTTCTGTGCAGAGCATTTAAGAGTCTTTGAGAACAGAGCAAACAATTATGCAGATATCAAATAGTAATATCATAATTATCAGAATGTCTCAGACAATGCATTTTAGTCAAGAGTCTTGATTAAGCCAAGAGAATAGGTTTCATTCTTATTTTGAATCTGTAGAGAAGAGAAATTTGATATAAATTTGCATAACACTTACTTTTTCCTCTAATTTCTTATTAGTTTTCCTAACCTTTTTGTTTATATTGAAAAATATCCAATACGTCTCTTGTTAGATGTGTGTATTCTTCTTTCCCTAAGTCAACACGTGTACTTCCCTGGAAGCTGAGTATATTTAAAGTCTTTATTGCATCACAGCTTGTCCAGTTTTTACCAAGTCTTACAGCCTTACTTAGCTTGCCTAGGTTATTAATGTTTTTTTCATCATGGCATAATAAATTATGTTTCTGAGCTTTCGCATGGCTGTCAAAGCTACATACTAGGAGACAAAACAGCTATCCACCATTCACTGGTAGACATAGTTTGTTATATCTTTATTCAGGCTTAAACTTCCTCAAATTCCAGTAAATATTCTCTTGGAAATTTAGACCCTGCCTTTCTACGTAGGGGCCATAGTTATTTAAGGTTTCAGTATCTGCAATAAAAAAAAAAAGAGTAAGAATTTTTTATCATTTAAAAGAATTAAGTCAGATTATTACAAAACTGAAATACTCATAAAAATTATGTTTTTAATAGCTATCAAATAAGTAGGAATTATCTAGTAATCTTGGGTCCCAGAGATTGAAAATATTCAAACAATGTGACCCAGAGTCTATATTTAAGTATGAAGAAGAATTAATCAAATAGCTTTGTTTGTATTCATGAAGAATTTCTAGGATCAATGGCTCCCAAATGAATGTTAAATTTATTTTTAAAAATTGCTGCATAGTTTTGATAAGGTTGGAATCATTAAAATTATGACACTTTGTCATAAAAATTTAATTTCTTTTGAAAAGCAGGAACTTTGGGGTGATTTCTGGTTGGAGGCATATATCACAATTGTCTCCTAAACTTAATAAGAATCAAATAGAAAAGAAAAAACAAGATTGTCTCCTAAACTTAAAACTGTCAGAGCATTTAGTAGAGTTGGCAATCAGGCTAGCAACAGGGCAAATGGGAATGTAGTATATAAGGTTGTAGAAGGCAATGAATAGTCAAATTTTGTCCTGAAGGTTTAGAGAAAAAAACCTTATTTAGTCCTGAAGAATAAGAGAAGGAAGTTTATGGTATTTTTGTAAAACCTGTTTTCAGGTACCTTTAATCATTAGATTTAGTTAAACACACAACTTCTTTGTGGGGAATAATAGTCTACGATGATTTTTTCTTTTTTATTTTGATTTTTTTAAATATTAATTATTCTCAATTCTCTTTAGCAGTATGTAGTGAAAGGAAAGTGGTATTATTATTATTTTGCACAAGGATATAGTTTCCTAGGGAAAATGGTACAAACTCAGCAATCTGATTAAACCTTTAGCTAGAGTGTGGACTCATTGGTGCCAAGTGTAATATAAATGACAGTTTTAATCTTTGGTGTTTAGACAAAGAAGACTGAAGAAATAACTTGTAGAATCTCATCTTGGCAATCAGTAACACTAAACTAACAGAGAGAGGAAATTAAAAGCCATTAAAATTTAGAGGAGAAAGATACAAAGATAGTTGTAGCAGTTTTTGGCTTTCTGCATTCAGGTGTCTTGATCTCAAGGCTCTGGATGAAGGCCATGTCTAGTGGTCTGTTTTAGATCAAAGTTTCTTAACTTGTCCTAAGTTTTCTATACAAATAGAAGAAAAGTTTTATGGTTATGTAGTCCAAGGAAAGGGATTTTGAAGGAAATGCTTAATGTTAGTGAAGACAGTCTCTTGTGAATCTCTCCAAGCCAAAGGCTCAGATTTTTCAGCTTTCATTCGATTATATACAAAGTGTCATTAAGTTCAAAAATGTTAGCATTTCTTTGTACAGCGTCTTATGAGAACAAGATTTTCTCTAAGTTCCCTACTACTAATTGGTCAGAGAAAATGAAAAATAACTTCGAATTTTTGAGGCAACAAGATTTACCATTTTGCGTATTGTCATGGCCTAGAAAATGCGCTTGCATCTAAAAAAATTGAAGTTTGTTTTTAAAATCTTTGTCAGAAAAAGGAGGAAATCAATCCTGTAAGACTTTCAAACTGAAGCACAGAACAGAAAACCAACCATTTGTAATATAAGAGTGGAGTACTGGCTCAGTATTTGCAAAAACTAATATAACATTTCTGTAAATCTGAGGAATGTCACTATCACGTATATTATTTATTTCCCTAAGGAAATATAAAAAGGTATCATGAGGTTGGATGGAAAGGTATACTTAAAAGAAAAATGCTGAATATGGATCTACCACTGAAGTTACCTGCCTCAGGGGTAAGGTATTTTTGAATTGTATTATGGTTGAAAACTGCAAAGAATGAGGGAGTACAAACTTGTTAATGAATGGTCCATGAATCTTGTACAAGGTAGTAACCACACTCATTTGGCTTTTTGATGGGCAGAAGAGGCATAACAAGGGCTAATATAGGAAACTTTGAGTACTTTTTGGAGGTATGTAGTATGATGGGTCTTCAAAAGTCTCTTTTATTAATAGACATTGGGTTAGTTTCAGTAAGACATAGATGGATTGATGAAGATCTTTATGGCTTCAGCCTCTTTCATCTGCTTTAGATATAAACTTTCTTTAGCCAAAAGGCTATTGGGAACAGATTCAAGGTCTGAGATGTTGGTAGGGAAGGCATCAGAGTGAGTGATCACTCCAGGCTATCACAAAACTATGGATCAGAATTCATCTCCTTCTGGAATTTTCAGAATGAGGTCATCTGGTTTATCTTTTATAATGGCACCTCATTTCCAAATAAGTCTTGTTCCCACAAATTCACTGGAGTAACATCACTAAACATAAACGTATATTGATAAGTTCCAGAGAGACAGGAACTGAGTGAGGCAAAAGCAGTGTTTGTGTGGTATCTCAGATTTCTACCAATAAAATGTCTTTGTTACTCTGAAAAAGAAATGACGGAAGGGTCATATGGTTTATAGTAGGGAGTGTAACCCTGGGAAGTAACAAGAAATGGAATGTTCCAGTTTTGCAATTGCATGAAATTTTTCTTCCTTTTTCGTTAATAGAAATTGTAGGTAGGTGAGTAGCTACTTCCTTGCAGGTGCGACTGGAGTCTATCTTTTCAGCTAAAATAGGGAAAGTTTTCTTCCATTACCCTTTTGCCTTAAAATATTATCAGACATCTTTGTCTAGGCTAGGCTAAAGGTGTCCTTGTTCTTGGGTTTATCTAATTTCTAATATGAAAAGCTAATAATTTGGTTTGTATTTTTTTTCTTTTTCTGGATCTTTAAAGTTTTGAAAAAAAAAAAACCTAGTAGTTCAGAGAGCTAGAAAGAGCTGCCATTCTATTTCTTGTTTGTTTTTTAGTTTGCTAACAAAACCTGGCACACTTGGTTAAATACCATCATTGAGAAAGGTGGATATGACAGTTGTAATGTTTTTTCCTCTGAGAATAGCAATGTCTCAAAAGGCTAGAATGAGATGAATTTATTTATTTATTTATTTATTTATTTATTTATTTTCTGTTTCAGGAGTGCAATTTTGACCAATTACTTTTTACTGGAAGAACTTCAAGAATAGCTATGAAGCATATGAAGAGGTCTTAGTAAGTTCTCTCTCTCTCTCTTTCTCTTTCTCTCATACAGTCATGTGCTACATAAAGGTGTTTTGCTCAACAATGGACTTCATATACAGTGGTGGTCCCATAAGTTTATAATGAAGCTGAAAAAGTTATCTCACCTAGTGATGTCATAGCTGTTGCACTGCAACACATTACTCATGGGTTTGTGGTGATGCTGATGTTAACAAACCTACTGCACTGCCAGCCACATAAAAATATAGAACATACAATTATGTACAGCATAAAATATTTGATAATGATAATAAATATGTTATGGCCTTATGTATTTACTATACTAGCCTTCTTGTTTTCATTTTAGAATGTACTCCTTCTACTTGTAAAAGAAGCTAACTGTAAAACAGCCTTAGACAGGTCCTTTAGGAGGTATTTCAGAAGAAGACATTGTTATCATGGGAGATTACAATTTCACTTCCTGTTATTGCCCCTGAAGAATTCCCAGAGGAACAAGATGAGGTGGTAGAAGGAAGGGATATTGATGATCCTGACCCTGTGCAGACTAGACTAATGCATGTGCTTTTGTCTTAGTTTTTAACAAAAAACTTAAAGAGTGAAAAAGAAATTTTAAAAATATAAAAAAGTTTATAGAGTAAGACTATACAAAAAAGAAAATATTCCTACATAGCATACAGTGTGTGTTTTAGACTGTGTTATTACAAAGGAGTCAAAAAGTTAAAAGAAGTATATAAAGTAAATAAGTTACAGTAATCTAAGGATAACATTGAAGAAAAAAATTTATTTTATGTTTATTGTAGCTTAAGTGTACAGTGTTGATAAAGTATACAGTAATGCCCTAGGCCTTTATATTCAGTCACCACTCACTCACTGACTCACTCAGAGCAACTTCCAGTCTTGCAAGCTCCATTCATGGTAAGTGCCTTATACAAGTGTACCATTAAAAATATCATTTATATGCTATTTTTACTGTACCTTTTCTATGTTTATATACAAAAATTTTTACAATTGTATTATAATTGGCTACAATGTTGAGTACAGTACCTGCTACACAGGTTCGTAGCCTAGGAGGAATAGGCTATACCATATGGCATAGATGTGTAGTAGACTATACCTACTCTATGTAAGTACACTCTATGAGGTTCACACAATGAAGAAATTGCCTAATATCTCTCAGAATGTATTCCTGTCATTAAATGACACATGGCTGTATATACATAATATATAGTGCATATATATATGTTATTTACATATAACATATAAATGACATGTAACATATAAAATGATATTATATAACATATACAGGTGTATATATATGTTATGTATAACACATATAGCATACAGTATTATAATGTTATTTTTATATGACATACATAAATATATATATATCTGTTGTTAAATTTTGATCCTTATATTGAATACAATTTTGATAATCTATTTTACTTTTTCTGACCAAATATTAGTATCACTGAGTTCCACAAAATGATGAAATAATTGGTAGATATTAAGGCATCCTAAGGTATATGTCTTATGGAAAAACGTAAATTGTTTGTTGACTTTTGTCTTTTCTTTTGAGGGCTAGATATTTCATTAGATTATATTAATCAGGAACAAGATTTAACCAATAAAAATAAGGCTAATCATGATATCTAACTCTTTATAAGACATTGTAATGAGATATAATCTAATGAGAATTGTGTGCTCAGCAAGAGGTAGAGGAAAAAAAAGGTTCTTGCAAAGTACAGAAGTAGGAAGAGCAGGAACAGAGCAAGGGGATGGAGGAATTCAAGTCGAGGTCACAAAGGAGGCCAAACAAAAGTTGAATCAAGAGGAAGAGAAGAGTTTAAGTTTGGATATTTTAGTCTTTTTATTTCTATATTTATATTGTTTTTTATATTTATTTATTATTCAAAAGATATATTTGATCTTTCTAAGGTCTCTTAGGGGAAATAGTTTTAGAATTTTTCTGTGTTGTAGAGAGCTAAATCTGGACAATGACTTGGAGTTTCAATGAATGCTTATATTCAAATATGGATAGAAAACCGGAAACAAATATTTATGCCTATGGAAACTGGGCTGTACATTTCCATGTCATCTATAACAGCCCTGAGTAATGAAAAGATTAAAAGAAACTTATTCAAAGACAATAAAGGAAATAGTAATGATTTAGGAGGTTGTATTAGTCCGTTTCATACCGCTATAAAAATGTGGCTAAGACTAGGTAATTTATAAAGAAAAGAGCTTTAACTGACTCACAGTTCTGCAGGGCTTAGGAAACTTGCAATCATAGCAGAAGTCGAAGGAGAAGCAAGCACCTTCTTCACAAGGTGGCAGGAGAAAGAGAGAGTGAGGGGGGACCTGCCAAGCACTTTTAAACCAAGAGATCTCTTGAGAACTCACTATTACGAGAACAGTATGGGGGAAACCACTTCCATAATCCAATCACCTCCCACCAGGTCCCTCCCTCAACACATGGGGATTACAATTCAAGATGCGATTTGTTTGGAGACACAGAGACAAACCGTATCAGTAGTCTTTAAAGAAAGACGACAGCGTGGTCATCAGCAAGACTTATTCAGATGTTCAGTAGGAGAATCTGAAAATGAAAAAAAAAAAAATAAGAGAGAGAGAGAGAGAGAGACAGATCTGCAAACTATCATTGCTGAAGTAATCCAGGTTGAGGAGCAGCAAGTCCAGTATTGACCTGAGTCGAGGTGCCAAAAACTGTGGAAGAAAATATAAAACAGAGCACTCTTAAGCATAAGCTTTCTTTTGAAATGTTTCCATGTGAGAATGAGCATGCTGCCACGTAAGTCACCTGTTTTATAACATAAGTGTAATAATTCCATGACATAGTGAATTACATAACATATAAATTACAATGGGAGTAGAATGGTCTTTTAATCAACAGTGCTGTATCAATTGGATATTCCCATTAGAAAAAGTAGATTTTATTTCATTTCACCCTATATAAAATATTAATTTATTAGGGATTATAATTCTAAAAGTGAAAGGTAAAACACTAAAAGTCCTAGAAGAAAATATGAAATATCTAGTGTATATCAAATGTATCAAGTGGGACACAAAAAATACTAACTATAAAGATACATAAATGGAATTACATTAAAGTTAAACATAACTGCTTATCAAAAAACACCATTTAGAAAATAAAAAGGCAAGCTACATTTGCTATGTATACATCTAACAATCAATTTACTTCTAGCAAGTCTAAAGAACTCCCCAAAAGATGGGTCAAATTAATTTTTAAAAATCTGCAAAAATTTTGAACATATAGTCATAAAAACTTATTCAAATGTACACTCAACATTAAATGGACTGAAAAAGCAGTGCATTTAATTACTTAATGAAAAACGCAAAGGAAAACCACAAACAGATAACACTTGATATCTACCAGAAGCACTAAAATTTAAGGCTGAAAATACCAACAATTGTATAGAAAATATAACACACACACTTCTAATGTAAGAATAAATTGGCACAACCAGTTCTAAAGCACTGCTTAGCGTATCTACTAAGACTAACATTTTGACTCAGTAATCCCTCCCTTATGTATATACCAAACAGATTTGCCTATTGTTACCACAAGATATGTAGCAGAATGTTCATACCAGCAAATAAAATAAGAGAAACAACTAAAATACCAACCAGTAGTAAAATTGATTAACAATTTTTATCATATTAACTTGAATTCTATAGGACAGTGGTTCTCAGTTGGAGACTATTTCATCCCCAGAGGATGTTTGACAATGTCTAGAGACAGTTTTAGTTGACACAACTGGAGAAATGTTATTGGCTTCTAAGGGGCATATGCCAGCAATGCTGCCAAATATCTTCCCATGCACAGCTCCCATAACAAATAATTATCCAGTCCAAAATGTGCATAGTGCAAGATTGAAAAATTCTGCTATAGAACTATGAGAAAACTACACATAACCACATAGATGAAAAAAATGATACAGAGGAGTTTTACACTGAATACTTTGATTTATGAAAACTTCAGAAACAGACTCATCAAACCCTTTCACTGTGTTAGGAATCAGCTTAATGATTACCTTTGACAGGAAACAGTGATTAGAAAGGGAAGGGAAGGGGTCACTGATAATGGTAGTGCTCTGTAAACACAAAACAGAATTCTAAGCCCCCCAACAGACTGAATGGACCCCTCCTCTCAGCCAAAGGCATTCCAAAGTTGACCTGAAAAACTAGTTCAGGCCATGATAAGAAAAGGGGCTTGGAAATGCCTCATTCAGGCACAACTGACCAGTATTAACATTAAAACAGAGATCTTAAGTCTGACAAAACAGACTTTTTGTAGCAATAACATACCAAATTCTAATCTTACTCTAGTATAGCATCATCATATGACAGATAACAAGCCCTAAAAGAAATTGAAGTATTTTACCCCAATATATATATATATATATATAATTGAACTGCAGATCTTTCTAATAGCAGAGCTTGGTACCTGAGGAGGTGGTTGTCTGTTAGTTAGAGACTCCCCTCAGAAGACAGTAGTCCTGGGATGGGCATGGTGGCTTACACACATAATTCCAGCATTTTGGGAGGCCAAGGTGGGTGGATCACCTGAGGTCAAGAGTTGGAGATCAGCCTAGTCAGCAAGATGAAACCCCATTGTCTCTACTAAAAGTACAAAAATTAGCCTGGTGTGGTGGCAGATACCTGTAATCCCAGGTACTTGGATGTCTGAGGTGGGACAATCACATAAACCCAGGAGACAGAGGTTACAGTGAGCCAAGACTTTAGACTGGGCAACAGAGCAAGACTCCATCTCAAACACAAACAAACATAAAGAAGGCAGTAGATGGTAGTCCTACCACATTATTCAGGCATAAACAGTTAAGTTATTCCCCATGGTTAACTTAATAGCCTCTGTTACAAGCAAGGCTACCACTGAGACTGCTCAGGGGCAAGCTGGCCACCCTTTGGCTACTAAATCAAGTTCCTTACTTAGGTAGGCAACAGGCTACTGGGCTGTACCCTGGGCCTATGTTAGAACTCCCAGTGCCATTCCCTTTATTTCTGACACATAAAGATTAAACATTTTTCCTATGGAGAGATAAATGGCTGGTGTCTTCAGGAAGGCTCGTTTTAGTTGGTCAAAGGCCTTTCTAGGCTCTGGTTCCCAAATTAGACAGTGAGTTTTAGCTGCCTGAGTCTCCTTTATTAAGTGGTATAAGGGACAAGCTATTTCACTCTACCCAGGTATCCACAGTCTGCAGAATCCTGTAATGCCCAAGAATTCCCTTGGTTACTTGACAGTTTGGGGGAGGAGAAAGGAGAAGATTTTCTTAAACCCTTCTTTGACTAATGCCCTAGTCCCCTCTGACAGGACTAGGCCTAGGTATTTCACTGGGGTCTGACAGAGCTGAGCTTTAGATTTTGAAACCTTATATCATCTGTTAGCTAGAAAATTAAGAAGAGCCTTACTGCCTTCCTTAGAGATTTCCTCTGTTGGAGCCCAGAGGAGAATGTCATCTATGTATTGTAAAGCTTTAACCTGAGGATAAAGGAACTCAGAGAGGTCTCTTGATAATTACCTGCCCAAAATAGTGGAGGCTGTCTCAGAATTCCTGAGGTGACACTGTCCAGGTTAACTGGGTGGTTTGGTTAGAAGGATCCTTGAATGCAAACAAATACTGAGAGTCAGAGTATAATGGTATGCAGAAGAAGGCATTCTTTAGGTCCAGGACTGTGAACCATTTAGTTACCTCAGGTATTTGAGCTGGCAGGGTATACAGATTGGGAACCACCAGATGTATCAGAACCACAGCCTCATTAACAAGGTGGAGGTCCTGAACTAGTTTCCATTCCCCATTGGGTTTTTGTTCCCCCAATATCAGGGTATTACAAGGGTTATTGCAGGGCTTGAGGGGGCACTGCATCCTCAAGTTATCAATGATGGCTTCTAGTCCATTCCTAAACTCTAGTTTCAGGGGATATTGTTTCTGGTTAGGAAAGGAGGGGGAATCCTTAAGGTGGACCTTGACCCGTAGGGCGGTTGTGGCTTAGCCAATCTTCCCTTCAATTGCTCAACCTTCTGGGTTAATATCAGTCTCCAATAGAGGGAGACAAAGAGTTTGCCCAGGGGCCATCAGGATGGTGGTCCACAGTTGGGCCAGAATATCCCTGCCCAACAGAGAAGTTGGGCTTTCAGGCAGAATTAGAAATGCATGGGTGAACAAAAGGTCTCCCCAACTTCAACTAAGAGGTTAGGAAAAATATTCAGTAAAAGGCCTTCCTGAGATGCCCCTCATGGTCATGCTAAGAGGAGAGAGGGCCCTGTGTTGGAGAGGAGAACTGAGACCAGCTCTGGTTTCCAAAAGGAGGTCCACTTTTCTCCCTTTGATTTTCAGAATTACCCAGGGCTCCTGGATGGTAATGGTGGTCTGGACCACCGGGAAGTTGAAGAGATGAGCTCTGGGACTCATCAGCCCTGCTGCTGGACCATATGGGAGATTGGTCTGGAACTGGTGACGAGCATCTCTGGGGACAGTCCACCCTCCTCCAGTGGTCCCCATTTCAGATTGGACAAGGTCAAGGTGGCTACTTCATGCTTCCTGGACAATCCTTCCTAAAATGCCCTGGCTTGCCACATCTGTACCAGTTAAAGGGTGTATCCTGGGAATTCTGGGATTTGTTGGCTTGCCTGGTGGTCATTAAAGCTCCTGTATCTTTCCTGTGTTTCCTCTCTGTCTCTCTCGGGCCTCCTTTTCACTTATAAAAAACCAAAGTATCCACTTTCAGGAGGTTCTCTAAAGTACTATCTAGTCCCAGGGCCTATTTCTGCAGCTTCTTCATGATATCAGGAGCTGCCTGAGTAATAAATTTATCTTTCAGGATTAGTTGTCCCTCAACTGAATCAAGAGATAGACAAGTGTGCTTGACCAAGACCTCTCTTAGCCTTTCCAGGAAGGCAGTGGGATTTTCATCAAATCCCTGGTTTATCATGGATAACTTGGTATAAATGAGAGGCTTGGTCCTAGTCCTGTGTAACCCCTCCATTATGCACTCCTGAAAGTCTCCTCTTCCATTCTCCCATTTCGTCATTGGGATTCCATCCAGGGTCATCTATTGGTACTGCCTCTCTTCCAGTTGGATAAAGTTTGTCCCCTTCCCTGATGCTATATGTGATACAAAGCTCATCCCTAAATCTCACTCTTGTTTGCAGAGCAGCCTGCTTCACAGTGTTAGTCAGGGTCTGATTCAAAAGTAACATAAAGTCTTTCCAGGAGAGCTCAAATACTTGGGTGAAATTCGGGAAAGCCTCTATTTATCTGTCAGAGTCATCTGAAAACTTGCCAAGATCCTCCTTAATCTGTTTTAAGTTCTGTAGACAGAAGGGAACCTGGACTTTACTGAGGCCAAATTCACCAGGCATCTGTTGGAGAGCAAGAGCGAGACTGGGGCTTGTCTAGGGTGAGGATTTCTAGGAGGGGGCACGCAAGAGAGAGAAGCTGGATAGGGAGGATGAGGTAGACCTAGAGGAGCAAGGCTGCAGGGAGCTGGCTTCTCTGTTGGAGGTGCTTCTGGGATGTGTTTTATTAGTTCCCTGGGATTGCCCCTTGTAGCCTCCCCTGAGATGGCAAACAGGAGGGACGGATAAATCCTACACTGTCAGGAAAGGTCTGGATTGCCATGCAAGGTAAAGAAAGCCTGCACATACAGGGCCTCAGACCATCTGTCCTCATGTTTACAGAAAAGGTTCAACTGCAGGGCTGTATCAAAATGAATGGGTCCTTCCTGAGGCCAAACCAGTCCTTCTTGTAAAACATAATTTGGCCAAACCTTTGTGCAGAGGGATATGAGGCATTTTTCCTCCACAGTCTGAGGGTCAAATCAGTCCCATTGGTTCAGGGTACACTCCAGAGAAGTACAACCTGGGGATGGTGAAGATAGCTGGTTTCCAATTCTAAAAGACAGGGAAATAGAGGCATCCTTCATTTTCTTTCTTCTTTCAGTGATAACCAGAGGTGTAATGGAGAGAAAGTGGGCATCCTTTATTTCTCTTCCATCTTGTCACCTAGTCCTGGCGACCTTGGCAGGTGCCACCCACGGGTGCCAAAGTGATTTTCACCTGTGCTAACAGAGGAAGTGCTATTGGGTGGGAGTATCTTCTCTTACCCATTACGCCCTATTTTCCCTGCCGTAAACAACCTTTGAGTTCCCTGGGCCTCATCTATGTCATGGAGCATGGCCTCCTTCCATGAAACAGAGATTTAGTTAGCAGGAATTGGTCCTACCCATTTACATTGTGCCTGTTGCCTAGCTTCGGATCCCTCAGATCAGGTTTTTCATTCTAGGGCCTCAATCTGAAGCCTAGAATTGATTTTGGGACAAATTTCAGGGGCTGCATGGATCTGTTTAGATTAAGTCTCAGATGTGCCCTGGTGAATTTGCAGTTATCAGCCAGCAGGGGTCGGTCATCCACTGTTTTTCCTGTTATAAGCAGAGTGCTGGAGATAGGAACCCTCTCACTTAGAAAAGAATAAAGGAAATATCTTAAAGTACAAAAAAAAAAGTGTGTTTTGGGGGGAACTTCTTGCTCTGTACAAATGGGTTTCTTCAACTACTGTATCCCTTCCACGGTTCAGACCAGTAAGGACCACTCAACCATGGGAGGAAAAGCTCTACTGGTGCAGCAATCAGGAGGCACTGGGGGCCCAGTGGCAGCCATGGTTTTTTCCCACCCCTCATGGCCATTGGGCACAGCTTGTGCATGCTGCAGACAGGCCCAGGTGCCCAAGTCAGAAGGGGAGGCAGTAAGGTGGTAAGTCACCGCACCTTGTCCATCCCACGCATCACCTGCAGCCATTAGGGGGAGGTTTGGGGTCGCACCTCTAAGAACAAATGGAAACCAAATTGTTCTAAATTGCTCCCTTGATTGCTGGGCCAAACATACATTGTACTTAGTAACATCTCAGTAGTTTGCAGCATTACCCTTAACATTATACAGAAGAGATAGGAGCCATTTCAAGCCATGAAAAAACAAAAGACACCACAGCAAAGTCTGGGGATCTTGGCCAAAGAAGTTTAGTCTTGGGGCCTTCCAGCAACAAAAGATGCCTTTGGTTGCCCCAGGACTCTACTCTGGTTCCATGGAACGATTAGACTTCCATGAAGAAAAAAAGAGCCAATATTTATTTTACTCAAAGGAAAGAGGGAGGTGTCAGGGTCTTGGAAAAGAGGCAGATCCGACAGCTCTGCATCTGTACTCACCCTTGTGCTGAACCCCTGGATCACAGGCGAGCCCCCAGTTAAGACGGAGGAGTTCCCTGACCCCTTAGTGGGACTTGCAACAGGGGTGTGACTCATTTACTCGGCCGCCATGCACTCAAACCCCTTATGGGAGCATGCAGGTGAGCTGGGGCAAGTGCTTTTGGGCTCTTGCCCCACGGCCATGTCTAGGGGTGCTACGATGCTCTTTTAGTTTTGCCATCTGTGGGTGGCTAAATGTTAACCAGCTCAGTGGAGTCAGGGTGACAGCCTTTTACACCCTGCCCTCTTGGTCCCCAGGTCCTTGTCCATAATCCAGGAAGAATCAGCTCACACAGACTTGAAGAATGGTAAATGCGGGGATTTTATCGGGTGATGGAGTTGGCTCTCAACAGAATGGATGAGGAGCTGAAAAAGAGATGGAGTGAGAAGATGATCTTTCCCTGGAGTTCAGCTGTCTCGCGGCCGATCTCCTCTCTGACCATCCCCAGACAAACTCCTCTCAACGTTCAAAAGCTCCTTCTCTTCTTTCTTTCACTGCTGTGCTGTTCTGCCACTCTGTCAGTGGAGCTTGGGGTTTATATTCATACAGGATAGGAGCATGGCAGGCCAGAGTGGTTTTGGAAAAGGCAGCATTTGGGCACAAAAACATGAATGCCTATTCCCTTTGAGGGACATGGATTACCAGGCTTGAGGGTGGGGCCTTTGCAAGGGAATTGCCCTCTTCTACTAGGTCCCTGCCTCCTGTCCATATCGCTAGCATTAAGATGCCAAGTGAGAAATTTCAGCATTTGAGAATTCACTCTGCCAGCAAGCTAGCAAGTTAGCCAGTCATAATTTTACAGTTGCATCTGGTGGAAAGATATTAGACTTCTGAGTAAGAGCAAAGTTTCTTATTCAATGCAGTAGATTAGCCAGAGTAACACTTCACATCAGTTCTCTGAGCCCCAGTTTTCACAGGGCAACATGATAAGGGCCAGGTGGTACATGAATATACCATGGGGAAGCATTCCAGGAAAGGAACCTCGCCTTTAGGACACTCTAGTCTTATAAATGGGCTGCTGACAAACCTGTTCTTCTCCCCTCTTGAGACAGACACTGTCTTTATACCTTGGAATATAAGCAAGTTCATTTTGGAGAAGTAGGAGGGTCTCTATAATTATTAAACTGGAATGTCTCACGGGTAAGACATCTTTAAATCACTACAGAAGAAGTTACTGGCTTTCTCTTTACTATCTGGAAATGTAAATACATTTGCACCAGAGGGAGTTCCTGTCTCTATCTTTCCAGGGTGGCTTGTAAAAACATTCTTGAGACTATAGTTCTGGAGAACAAAGACTAATGTCTGGATGTGTAGAAACAATAGAGATTCATCAAGAATTATCTAGCAGCATCACAGAAGTGTGGATAAAAAACTGTGATATTATTTTTAACTATCAAAGAATATAAACATATGTGTGTATTGGAAATACACACCCACTACTAGTGATTATTTGTAGAGATTTACTCTCATATCATGGTAAATTTGGAAATTGTCACAAGTTCTTTTAAAAGCACATTTAAAATATGAATTAATATTAATATCATTCATGTTGTTCGACTCAGTACATCCAAGCTAAAGAATTCAAAGTTCTCAGTAGTGTGCTTTATAATTTTTGTTATAGAAATATTTAAAACAGCATATTATATAAAGAGAGAATAATGGTGAAATATATTTGGAATACCCATTCAATGGAATAACTTCGAACAATACATTTGCTGAGAGAATAGCACCTAAGATAATGTTAGGTTAAAACACAATTATTGCTGAGCTGAAAACATTATAGATAGATGCAGATATGGATACAGCTATATAGATGTACATATGTAAATATGTAGAATCAGATACAGATACAGTACAGATATATATTTAGAACAGTAACAAGAAGAAAATATTTTAACATAATTTTTTTCAGTAAGTCTGTGGAAGATTTATATTTTTCTTTATACATTTTTGCATTTTCAAAAGCCCATGTATAAAGTATCACTTTTATCTTATAAAAAGTTTTATAAATTAACCTCTATTTTTTAAATTGTATTTGGCTTTTTAAATGCCATCCACATTAACACCTCAATCTGTTTTCACATATTTGAGTGATATTTTAATTGGTTGGTGATATGGTTTGGCTGTGTCCCCACACAAATCTCATCTTGAATTGTAGCTCCCATAATTCTGACATGTTGTGGGAGGGACCAGGTGGGAGGTAATTGAATCATGAGGGTGGATGCTGTTCACATGACAGTGAATAAGTGAATAAGTCTCATGAGACCTGATGGTTTTATAATGGGGAGTTACCCTACACAAACTCTCTTCTCTTGTTGTTGCCATGTGCGACATGTCTTTCACCTTCTGCCATGAATGTGAGGCCTCCCCAGCCATGTGAAACTGTGAGTCCATTAAAACTCTTTTTCCTTATAAATTACCCAGTCTCATTTACATCTTTATCAGCAGTGTGAAAATGGACTAATACAGTAAATTGGTACCAGTAGAGTGGGGCGCTGCTTTAAAGATACCTGTATTAGTCTGTTTTCATGCCACTGATAAAGACATATACATGAATGGGCACTTTACAAAAGAAAGAGGTTTATTGGAATTACAGTTCTACATGGATACACAGATAGCAGCAGGCAAAGAGATAGCTTGTGAAAGGAAACTCCTGTTTTTAAAACTATCAGTTCTCCTGATATCCATTCACTGTCATGAGAACAGAACAAGAAAGATCCGGCCCCATGATTCAATCATCTCCCACTGGGTCCTTCCCACAATATGTAGAAATTACAAGAGCTACAAGATGAGATTTGGGTGGGGAAGCAAAGCCAAACCATATCATTCCACTCCTGGCCCCTCCCAAATCTCATATCTTCACATTTCAAAAGCAATCATGCCTTCCCAACAGTCCCCCAAAGTCTTAACTCATTTCAGCATTAACTGAAAAGTCCACAGTCCAAAGTCTCATCCATGGCAATACAAGTCTCTTCTGTCTACCAGCCTGTAAAATCAAAAGCAAGTTAGTTACTTCCAAGATGCAAAGGAGGTACAGGAATGGGGTAAATACAGCTATTCCAAATGGGAGAAATTGGCAAAAACAAAGGGGCTACAGGTCCCATGCAAGTCTGAAATACAGCAAGGCAGTCAAATCTTAAACCTGTAAAATGATCTCTTTTGACTCCATGTCTCACATCCAGGTCACACTGACACAAGAGGTAGGTTCTCATAGCCTTGGGCAGCTCCACTCCTGTGGCTTTGCAGTGTACAGCCTCCCCTCCAGCTGCCTTCATGGGCTGGTGTTGAGTGTCTACAGCTTTTCCAGGTGCACAGTGCAAGCTGACGGTGGATCTACCATTCTGGGGTCTGGAGGATGGTGGCCCTCATCTCACAACTCCACTAGATGATGCCCTAGTAGGGACTCTGTGTAGGGGCTCCCACCCCACCCCACATTTCCCTTCTGCATTGCCCTAGCAGAGGTTCTCTATGAAGACTCCACTGCTACAGCAAACTTCTACCTGGATATCTAGGTGTTTCCATACATCTTCTGAAATATAGTTTGAGGTTCCCAAACCTCAATTCTTGACTTCTGTGTACTTGCAGGCTCAACACTATGTGGAAGATGCTAAGGCTTGGGGCTCCCACCCTCTGAAGCCATGGCCTGAGCTCTATGTTAGCCCCTTTCAGCCATGGCTGGAGCAGCTGGGATGCAGGGCACCAAGTCCCTAGGCTGCCCATAGCACAGGGACCTTAGGCCTGGCTCACAAAACCATGTTTTCCTCCTAGGCCTCTAGGCCTGTGATGATAGGGGCTACCATGAAGATCTCTGACATGCCCTGGAAACATTTTTCCCATTATCTTGGGGATTAACATTTGGCTTCTCAATACTTATGCAAATTTCTGCAGATTTGCAGAATGGGATTTTCTTTTCTATCACATTGTCATGCTGAAAATTTTCTGAACTTTTATGCTCTATTTCCCTCATAAAACTGAATGCCTTTAACAGCACTCAAGTCATATCTTGAATGCTTCACTGGTTAGAAATTTCTTCCACCATATACCTTAAATCATCTCTCTCAAGTTCAGAGTTCCACAAATCTCTAGGGCATGGGCAAAGTGTCATCAGTCTCTCTGCTAAAACAATGAGAGACACCTTTGCTTCAGTTCCAAACAAGTTCCTCATCTCCATCTGAGACCACCTCAGCCTGAATTTTATTGTCCATATCATTATCAGCATTTTGGTTAAAGCCATTCAATAAGCCCTAGGAAATTCTAAACTTTCCCACATTTTCCTGTCTTCTTTTGAGCTCTTTAAATTATTCCAACCTCTGCCTGTTACCCAGTTCCCAAGTTGCTACTTTCAGGTATTGATATGCTTTGGCTCTGTATCCCCACCCAAATCTCATATTGTAGCTCCCATACTTCCCATGTGTTGTGGGAGAAACCTGGAGGAAGACGATTGAATCATGAGGGCAGGTCTTTTCTTTGCTGCTCTAGTGATAGTGAATGGGTCTTATGAGATCTGATGGTTTTAAAAACAGGAGTTTCCCTACACAAGCTCTCTCTTTCCCTGCTGCCACCCATGTAAGATGTGACTTGCTCCATGTAGAACTGTAGATCCAACAGACCTTTCTTTTGTAAGTTGCCTGGTCTTGGGTATGTCTTTATCAGCAGCATGAACATGAATTAATACAGTATATTGGTACAAGTAGAGTGTGGCATTGCTGAAAAGATATCACAAAATGAGGAGGCAACTTCAGAACTAGTTAACAGGCAGAGGTTGGAACAGTTTAAAGGGCTCAGAAGAAGATAGGAAAATGTAGGAATGCTTGGAACTCCTTTGAGACCTATTGAATGGCTTTGACCAAAATGCTGATAATGATATGGACAATGAAATCCAGACTGAGGTTGTCTCAGGTGGAGATGAAGAACTTGTTGGGAACTGGAGTAAAGGTGACTCTTGCTATGTTTTAGCAAAGAAACTGGTGGCATTTTGCCCCTGCCCTAGAGATTTGTGGAACTTTTAACTTGAGGGAGATGATTCAGGGTATCTGGTGGAAGAAATTTCTAAGCAGCAAAGCAGTGAAGATGTGACTTGGGTGCTTTCAAAAGCATTCAGTTTTAAATGAAAACAGAGCATGAAATTTTGAAAAATGTTCAGCCTGACTATGCAATAGAAAATAAAAAACCATTTTCTAAGAAGAAAATCAAGCTTGCTGCAGAAATTTGCATAAGTAACAAGAAGCCAAATGTTAATCACCAAGACAATGGGGAAAATGTCTCCAGGATATGTCAGAGAACTTTGTGGCAATCTCTCCCATCTCAGGCCCAGAAGCCTAGGAGAAAAAAATTGCTTGTAGGCCAGGCCCGGGGGCCCCTTGCTGTGTGCAATCTAAGGACTTGGTGCCCTGCGTCCCAGCTGCTCTTGCTGTGGCTAAAAGGGACCAAGGTACAGCTCAGGCCATGGCTTCAGAGGGTGCAGGCCCCAAGCCTTGGCAACTTCCACTTAGTGTTGAGCCTGCAGGTACATAAAAGTCAAGAACTGAGGTTTGAGAACCTCCAACTAGATTTCAGAGGATTTATGGAAAATCCTGGATGTCCAGGCAGGAGCTTGCTGTAAGGGTGGGACCCTCATGGAGAACCTCTGCTAGGGCAGTGTGGAAGGTAAACATGGGGTTAAAGCCCCTACATAGAGTCTTCACTGGGCACCGCCTAGTGGAGTTGTGAGAAGAGGGTCACTGTCCTCCAGACCCCAGAATGGTAGATCCACCAACAGCTTGCACCGTGAGCCTGGAAAAGCTGCAGACACTCAATGCCAGCTTGTGAAATCTGCCAGGGGAGAGGCTGTACTCTACAAAGCCACAGGGGTACAGCTGCCCAAGACCAGGGGAACCCACCTCTTGCATCAGTGTTAGCTGGATGTGAGACATGAAGTCAAAGGAGATCACTTTGGAGCTTTAAGATTTGACTGCTCTGCTGGATTTTGGACTTGCATGGGGCCTTTAGCCCCTTCATTTTGGCCAATTTATCCCATTTGGAATGGATGTATTTATCTAATGCCTATACCTCCATTGTATCTAAGAAGTAGCTAATATGCTTTTGATTTTACTGACTCATAGGCAGAAGGGACATGACTTGTCTTAGGTGAGACTTTAGACTATAGACTTTTCAGTTAATGCTGAAATGAGTTAAGACTTTGGGGGACTCTTGGGAAGGCATGATTGCTTTTGAAATGTGAGGACATAAGATTTGGGAGGGGCCAGGGGTAGAATGATACAGTTTGGCTATGTCCCCACCCAAATCTCATCTTGAATTGTAGCTCTCACAATTCCCACATGTTGTGGGAGGGATCCAGTGGGAGGTAATTGAATCATGGGTGCAGGTCTTTCTTGTGCTGCTTTTATGGTAGTGAATAAGTCTCCCAAGATCTGATGGTTTTATAATGAGGTGTTTCCCTGCACAAGCTCTCTTCTCTTGTCTGCCACCATGTGAGATGAGCCTTTCATCTTCTACCATGATTGTGAGGCCTCCTCAGTCATGTGGAACTGTGAGTCCATTAAACCACTTCTATCTTATAAAATACCTAATCTCAGGGATGTCTTTACCAGTAATGTGAAAAATGGACTAATACAGTTGGTTATTTGCAAGGTAATTTTATTTTATGGGTTTATTTTATGGTCAAGAGTTTCTAAAACTAAGGCTATATAGGATCTCATGTTAAAACCTAGCAATGAGATTTATAATAAAGGATATGGCTACATTTTTGACCACTGATAGCTTTACTTTTCTTTCTTTTCCACATTAGGCCAAGCTGATTTTAAAACCCACTAGCTTCTTCCCTGGTCACTAGCAGGAAGTTTGAAGCCCATAAATTCCCTGTGGGTGCATAGGAACATTTCCCCAGAACATTCCTCTAGTCACTATAAGGGCCCAATCCACTCTCTCTGCTCAAGCCCAGTGGATTGATTTGGGTGCTCATCCTTCTATCTCCAGAAAATTTCATTATGTGAGTAAGAAATCCTTTTGTAATCTTTTGAGGCATGTTTGGCATCATCAGGCTAGGCATCTGAATCAATTTTGTTTGAGGAGTGTTGATCCCATACTCCTTGGAGTAACCACCAAAGAATGTTTTTTTGCATTTAAATGTATCTATACACACTCATACACACACACATACATACAGAAACATGAACATGTAAATTATATATTGCATATTATATATAATATATCTAGCTGTCTATATCTTCTAAATTCATAGATTCAGTTTTATTCTGGGGAATTTTTATGGTCTTTTGAGAACATAATCATACCTTAAGAAACAAAATGTTTAACCACTTTTTTTTTTTTTTTTTTGAGAAGGCGTTTCACTCTGTCGCCCAGGCTGGATTGCAGTGGGGCCATCTTGGCTCACTGCAAGATCTGCCTCCCAGGTTCAGACCATTCTCCTGCCTCAGCCTCCTGAGTAACTGGGACTACAGGTGCCCGCCACCATGCCCGGCTAATTTTTTGTAGTTTTAGTAGAGATGGGGTTTCACTGTGTTAGCAAGGATGGTCTCAATCTCCTGATCTCGTGATCCACCCGCCTCAGAATCCCAAAGTGGTTTAACCACTTTTAAACTTAGTGATGCCAAGCAGAGAGATCGAGCCAATGTATTAAAGTCTCCTCAGGATAATTATAACATAACACTCACAGACAGTGGAATGTACACTAAGGAAAAGAGATAAAATATCAAAATCAAGAAAAAACCTGTTTCTCTTCAAAAGCAATCCTGTTTCTCTCCCAGTATTTTTTTTCTAACACCACCATGTAGCCTAACTAGAAACTTAGGAATCCATTGTAATTCCTCTTTTACTCTCACACTGTACATCCAATTGAATAAATTCCAGTCTGTTCTAGTTTCTAAATAGTTCTTTAAACAATTTATTCTTATCTTTAATGTCATCATCCTTGTCCTGGCCATCACCATCACCCACTTGATATACATAGTCAACTTCTAAAGTGGCTTCATTCATTTTGTTCTTTCCATCGTCCAATTTTTTAGACATACCTTTTGCTTACAACTTTTCAGAACATTCATTTTTCCTTTAAAATAAGCACTAATGATTACTCTCTAGTCTACAGAGTAAAAACGTACCAATTTGGCACCTGCATTCCACCTGCATTCCACTTTGTATGTTATTTTGCATAATTGTTCTATTCCATTCACACTGGCTTTCTTTCTGCCTCTCAAACAGTTTAATTTTTTCTGAGCCTCAAGGTCTTTGCCCATAATGTTCCTTATGCTCAGAGCTGGCATTCAGCAAAGATGCACTGGTACTACATAACTGGTTTGTGAAATATAAAATATTCCCAAACCTGTTGGCAAGTAGCTACTGACCCAACCCCCTCAAGTGCTCCACTGCTGCTCTGATCTGCAGGCTCCTTATTTGGGCCTCCCCAGATATCCTCACAATTAGCAATTAAAGGGCTAATTGCAATAGCAAGGGTCCCTGTGATAATTTTGTGGCTTTCTGCCTAGCATCTATTTTGAGTGGTGCCTATAATAAATGTCCCACTTTCTAGGTGATGCCATTGGCTCCTTTAAGAGATCCTAGATGGCAGATGTATATGTTCCATATACGCCCTACTCTCAGACCCAGGAAAGCCGAGTTGTGTACCACAATGAAGCTGTGTAACATTCATCGATCTACCAAACAGATTTTCTCTACGTATCCCCTAGCCAAAGAGGTTTTCTGATTATCATACCAAATGCAGAATTCTACAATGTTCTCTGTTGAAATATTTTATTTATTTTCTTCATAAGTCTTTTTAAAACCCTCTATTATCATGGTTATTTTTTCTTTACTTTTTTTTTGTATATTTAAATTTCAGGGTTGTTTTATTCCCATTGTTTCTCCTAGTGTCTAGCATATATAGTAGGTGCTTTGATGTATTTGTTGAATTAATAAATCAATCAATTTCTCATGCCTCTGGCATAAAGAAAATAGAGATCATTTTGTTTTTTGGGTGTAAGAAGTGTTATCAACAATGTGGACCTAAGAATATAAGGGGAGCAAGAATTCTTACTACTCAAGTCCAACTCAAAATAACTGATATTCCTAGAGAGTTATAAAGATTATTTTGTCCAATCCTTTCTCAAAGTAGCTCTTCGTCTATTAGCTTTATTTCTTTATATCCAAGCAAGTCTTCTATCAATGGAGAAGAGAGTTGGGAGTATTTATTTATTTTTGGGGGGGAAATTTATCCAATGCTCATGTCTTCTTAGTGTGATTTCTTCACACATCATCAAGAAAGCACATACAGTTGACCTCTGTGGAAGAGATCACTACTTACTTATCAATACCTACTCTCCCCTTCTCTCACACAAAAATATAACTTCAAAGTTGGTAAAACTTATGTCTATACAGAATATAAACTACTATTTTCCAGCATACTTTGTAGCAAGATACGGTAATGTTACAAAGTTCTAACCAATTGGATGTGAACAGAAAATATATATGCTGCCTTATGAGTATATGCTATGCTAAAATTTGAAGATGGCAAGGAGTAGAAATATTTATGACCCAGTTCTTGCATTAAAGGAGCTCAGGGTTTTTAGAGTTATATAAAATGGAATTTGTTATACTACAGGGCTTCATACCTGAAATAAAACAGATTCAGATAAAGTTGGCAAGTAAAATTGGTTAATATATTCTACCTTCAGGATCTGGTAGCAATGAATGATTTGCATTCAGGTCCAACATTTACATGGAACTAAATTAAGCTTTGTCCACATTCTGGCATTTGTCATATACAGGAATATCTATGAAAGGCATTGTTTAAACTTTGATGGAAGGCATAATGGGAAATACGAAAAAACTAAAATTTTGGAATCAATATGATTTCTGGGAATAAATCCACTGTGGTTAACAGAATCTGAATTCAGGAAAAGCAACATGGCCAGGGGTAGAAGTAGCTTCTGGGAGAACATGGTGACTATACTTGACTTTACCGTTGATCTAAACTCATGTAGCACATCCGTATTCTTGGAACTGTTTAAAACAGACACACACACAACAAACAAAAAGTAATGACCTAGCTGTAAATTAAGGAATTCTAACAACTGAGAATCATGCAATGCTCCTTGGAATCATAGAATAGAATGATTTTACTTCTACGAGAACAAAGACAAGACATTATGGTCAATATGAATAGTATGACTCATCAGGAGAAGAATATTGGAGAGAAGAGTGAGTAATATTGGAGACAATCATGTCTGGGTCCAAAAAAGTAAAACTATCATGAGACATAGCACTGGAGAACTCTACAGGGAAGTGTAGAGAAGGGTACTTGAAGCAGGAAAACCTCACAGAAGGGCCCAAGAGGCTATGTGTTAGTAACCGGAATCTAGCTCAAGGCAGAACAGTTGCCTGAAAAGAATGAAATGGAATGAAAGGTCAGGGGCATAGACTGTGGTTTACAAAAAATATTGGGAACACAACCAGGAGCTGAGCATCCTGAGGGGCAAACCCTTCTGTTGGAGCAATGGTAGTCCTGAGAAATACTGTGGGGGTGATATAATTGCGGGTATGTCAGGGCAATGTCAAAGGTACTGTTATTGCAGGAGTATATGCAGCTAATTTAAATCGACCAGGAACACATGAAAGACTTCTAAATACTCTCAGAGACACTGGAAGGGTGAACCTTAAATGACAGTCTGGGAGTCTACAATTACACAGATGTAACTATGGAGTTACCAAAGTTCAGATTAATCATTAATGGGATCTAATTTGTGCCCAGAGACTGTGAAAGTCTACCACATTCAGACTACAGAGAGCTGAAAATAAAGATAAGTTTAAGTTTCAATTTAAACTTTCATTCTGGACATGTGCAGTAGCTTATGCCTATAATCCCAGCACCTTAGGAGGCCAAAGCAAGAGGACTGCTTGAGCCCAAGAGTTCAAGACCAGCCTGGGCAATACAGTGACACTGCCTCTACAATATTAAAACAAACAAACAAAAAACAAAAAAACATGGTGGTGCATGCCTGTGGTCCCAGCTACGTGGGAGGTTGAAGTGGGAGAATTCCTCAAGCCCAGGTAGTTGAGGCATCAGTGAGCTGTGATCACACCACTGCACTCCAGCCTGGATGAGAGAACAAGACCCTGTCTCAAAAATAAATAAATAAATACAAATAAAAAAATAAATTTATTCATGTTAAAGGAGAAATGTAAACCAATTGTATAAATCCAGATTATGCAAAATGCAATAATTATAGGGAAGTAGCGGGCCTCTAAATAATTATTTTAATCAATGAATATGGATGTTCATAGTTTTGCCACCTTTGATATGACACAATTTGGAAGCAAAACAAATGTAAGCTTATGTGTGCATATTCCAAAATGTATTTTCTTTAGGATTTTTGTATCTATGTTCATATTGGTATGTAGTTTTCTTTTTTTGTTGTGTCCTTGTCTGGCTTTGGTATTGGGGTGAAACCTACTTCCTAGACTGAATTAGGGAGAATTCCTTCCTCGTTGATTTTTTGGAATTTTCAGGAGGATTGGTACCAGTTCTTCCTTGTATGTTTGGTAGAATTTTCCTGTGAATCCTTCTGGTCCTGGGCTTCCTTTCACTACTTGTTACTGATTTGTTCAGGATTTCTATTTCTTCCTGGTTCAATCTTGGAAGATTGTATGTTTCCAGGAATTTATCCATTTTATCTAGGCATTTTAGTTTGTGGATATATAGCTGTTCATATTAGTCTCTGATGATCTTTTCTATTTCTGTGGTATCAGTTGTAAAGTCTCCTTTTTTATTCCTGATTATGCTTATTTGGATCCTCTCTTATTTTATTTGTTAGTCTAGCTAATGAGTTATCCATTCTGTTTATCTTTTCAAAGAACCAGCTTTTAATTTGTTATTTTTTTCTCAATTTTATTTAGTTCTCCTCTTACCTTTATTATTTGTTTTCTTTCACTAGCTTTGGGTTGGTTTGCTATATGCAGAAGACTGAAACTAGACCCCTATCTCTCACTATGTCAAAAAAAACAGTTTACAGTATTTTTGACTATCTTATATTTATATAAAATATTTTATATTTATAAAATTAACACTATCTTGTGTGATAACATAACACCTTTATTACTGAAGACTAAGCTCTGAGTTTTTTCTCTTGCCCAAATTCCTGTCTAAAGAGTCTGGGGAGTCATACCCTACAAACCATAAATTCTCATCAGATGGGTTTTATTTAACCCTATATATTGTGACTTACTTTCCAATCCGACTTATTTTGGTTTACATTCAGAAAGGCAGTTCTCACTTTTTGTTATGTTACATTTTATCAGATTTCTTATGCAATCCTTTTCCTTCTCTCATATATTATTATAATTCAGGGTTGTTGCACATCCTCTTATGATGCAATTTTTATCATTTCTAATGATTTCTTCATCTAGATAACCGAACAACATTTATTTAATGAGCTCCTGACTCACATGTCCGACTGAATACCAAACATTACCGTTAGCTCAGGAACAGCACGGTTTAACACTGACATCATTTTCTCCCTTGCTTTTCTTTCTGAATGTCAGTTTTAGTCATTGTCGATATCATCTACACAGCTGTCAAAGTCAAAAGTCTGGTGTTGTCCTTGCATCCACATTTGTCTTTCCCTTACTTTGCACAGTCAATTGGTCTCCAATTTCTGTTGATTCTACTGCCTACATTTGTAAAACTTTCAGTTTTCTCAACTTTCTGTATCATATTTTTAAATTTACATAACATTATTTACCTTCCTTGACTTAAAAAATATCTAAACTAATATTTTTCCATATCTCTAAGCCTATTCTTTCACTAAGTTGACTTAATTTTTCCAGTACACGAAATATGTCATGTCTCTCCTTACCTTAACACTCATCAATAACTGTCTATTACTATTAGGAATAAGTTCAAACTTTTAAGTATGATGAAAAATTTATGAAATTAAATTAATGTATTATTAAGGAAAAATTACAACCCATGAGAAAGGGTGATTCTAAAGAGAACATCTGATAGCAAGTACTGGAAAAATAAAATCACACTTAAGTTGGGAGCCTTCCATCAAACCAGTGACAGGTTTTTCTTGTTGTTGCTCTACTTTTTGGTGTGTGTATATGTCATGGGAGGATAAAGTGTTGAGTAGATCAGATAATCATAACCCAAGGTGATAATGAACTCTAAATGTGAAAAAAAAAAAAGTAGAATTGGAAGCCAAAACTGCATGTATCATTGAAACAGTGAATTCTAGTAACGGAGGAGTGAGCAGTTAGTAATAATTATCTTACTATATAGACTAATTTATTTATTTAGCCAGTAAAAAATAGTTAATGATGCAACATTTTGAATAACTATTTATTTAAAGGTATCTACACTTTCTGAAAACAAAGGAAAAACCCCAGGTAGAAACTAAAAGCAGTATTTTTGGGCTTTTAGAATTGTTGAATAGTGCAGTGTTTACAACATAGAAAGCATCATGTGGAAAATAAAATTCTTAACTTTCTCGAGGCTTATTTCTCAAAATAAGAGTACCAGTTTTACTCTAGGTTTAACAGTGGCCAAATTGTTTGATATTTGACAAGAGAAAGGAAGTCACCTCCCTCAGGAAAAACTTAGTGAAGCAGGATATCACTCTCTATAGATGTTTAAGGGAGGGAGGCATATGGTTGACTTTGCTACCCAAATCTGAGGGAAGAGACTTTAAAGAAATCAGCCAATAACTTTTTATGTGGTTTAATATATACTGGAAAGGACGCATGCTGACCTGTTTCATTGTTAATGTAGAAATGACAGAGACTGGAAAGAGATGCATTGTTAGAATAGTCAGCCAAGCTACTAGAACAAGCTCACTTCAGTTCCCAGTTCTTCAGAGGTAAAAGAGATAGATCCATTCAAGTCGACAGCTCCCTAAATGCAGAAATATTTCTAGGCAGAAATATATTTATTATAGAATTTTATATAAGAAATGGGTCGCAGGTATCTTGGACTAACAGGTCTACAAATTCTTGATCTCAATCCTCCTTCTCAGTAACTGGCAGCACCATCCATTCAGTTGGTGAAATCAAAACCTTGTAGTTATTCTTAATTTCACTTATACTCTTTTAGTCCATTAGCAAAAAATGTCAGTATTAATTCTATATAGATTACAAATCTGATTTTTTTTTCTTTTTTCAGCACTAGTACACTAAGCTACCTTGAGCTCTCTCCATTTGCATGGAACAGGATCAATGCTTAGTGAATATTTTTTGAACAATTGATTGAAAATTATATATGCATTGATTCATGAAAAGACTCTGTGAGAATATTTCCATTTTATTTTTAATTAAAAAATAATTTTAAACAGGATGCTTATTACTTTCCAAACTTATTCAGGACGAGCTTAACTGTATAATCTTCTCTTGACAACTCTTCTAATTTCTGATTGTAGAAATTTTGCTGATCCCTCAAAATTCTTTTAAGATAGTATCTTCTCTAGGAAACTTTCCTGCATTCTTCCAAGGAAATATTATTTGTTACTCTCTAAATCTCCATGTGTATACTCCAGTTTTATCTCTCTGTGATGCTTGAAACATGTTTTTCCTGACATTTAGTTATTGTTCTGAGTTTTACAAACTCCTTGAGGCCATCTTCTTTCAAATAATAAGACATAGCAAGTTCTACTATTGTCATATTAGAATCCTTCCTTCCCCATGAGTTAATGTAGTTGTAATGTGACTTCTTTTAACAAAATAATTAAAACACACACATGCACTACATGTATAGGAATGTATTATATTTAAATTCCACATATAGCCTTATTGGTAAGTATTTTCATATAAGTGAATGAAAGAAATAATACTTGAATGAAGAGTAAAGCCTGTCTGGTGGGATGAACTACGAACAGTAAAATACAAATATTCATGTTTTAAGAAGTATTTTTAAATGTGCATATATAAGAAATATAGAAAATGAAAGAATTAGCTTCACATACTAATAGTGATAATAATTTATTACCTGTGCATATTATAATTGGTTTGTTTAAAGAATCCGCATTATAATCACATTAACTCACTTCAGGGTGTTTAATGTAACAATATCATTTCCTGCTGTGTCTTATTACTTAAATGGAGTTGCAGTTTGGTTTTCCTGCTGACTATTCAATTGTATTTCCTAGACAAAGACAGATAGTAACTTACCTCAAATTATACTTGTTTATCTAAGGAGAACATTGATCAATACTGTATGATCTGAGGCCAGCTACCTCTTTTTTCCCTAATCACACTGCATTTAAGGAAGGGTAAAGATATCTGGCATTTTCAAATATTGGTTCAATTCAATTTACCACACATTAGGCAGCTCTGATGTGCTGCATTATGCTTGCCATTATGTAAGATTTTAAGTACACAATGTAGTTGGGCAACACACTATTTGCCCAGCACTTTGCACATTACATAAGAGTTCACATTCATTATGATGTCTAATTATCAAGATAATGAATATGATTAGTCATAATAACTAGCTAAGTAAGGAAGAGAGATAGTATTAATCACAATTTATAATTTTAGACATTGTTTTAGAGATCAGCGTTCTAACTGCGGTGTTTCAACAACAAACTGCATTTTGTGCTATAGAATATTGTGCTCCAAAATTACAACTACATTATATTTTATCTCTTGGTCACCTTATCATCTAAACCAAATTGTACATGTGAATGAAGTGCCCAACACCACACCTTAACCTCAAAATTTCTCTAACATAATTTCATACCATACACTAAATCTTCTTATCATTCTAAACAGCAGAATCCCTGAAATTCAGGAGCTCAACCGTGTACATGTACACAATTTCTTTCCTTGCAGGCCTTTTATTCCATTAGCTCTATTCTGGCTGATCTTTGTTCATATCAAGCCCCCAACTCTCTATACTTTATTTATCTTTCAGATCTCTCCTGGCTTCCTTCATTTTCTTATCTTTCAGATCTCTCCGGCTTCCTTCATTTTCTTACAAGATGATGTCATAAAATAACTCAATTTAATCACTCTCTGGCCAAAATATGAATTTCGTTTCTGTATTGCTATGTTTTACCACCACCCTGCAACACCCTTCTCCACAACAGAACCAGATCTGTTCAATGTATAGAGGAGACCTGTGTGTCGATTTCACCCTAAACTTATGATCTGGGTCCTCATTTGGCTTTCACTGTTATTATACACTTTATACATTCCCCTCAGCGTTCACCCCAAACTCACCTTTACTCCCAGGTTTCCTCTTTCCACCCATTCAGGAAATGAGTTGGTGATTTTATTTCAGAAACATAAAGGGATGACAGCACTTGAGCTAATCCTTACTTCCCTGGCCTGATGCCTGTAGTTTTATTTTCATGCCCAATTAGTCTTACTACTCTTTGTTTTTCTTACTTAAGTAAATGGTTTCTGTCCATGTTGTGAAAATAAAATTTTCATCAACACAATTGATTTCATTTTCTTGTGTTTCCTGAAATACTTTTTCTCATATATTACCTCTTCTTACCTACATCTTCAAACTCATCTCCCATATTGACATTTTAAAACTTTATAACAGCATTTACAAATTCCGGAGGACTTTTAGTGTTTTTTTTTTTTAAAAAAAAAACCCTCCTTCAACCTCTGCTTTCTCATATTTTGTCTTTCTTCTGCTTTTATCCCCCCTCTTCTTCCCTTCTTGCCTCTGCTCCTTCTTGGAAGCAGCTAGTTGTCAAATAATTTTTTCTAAGAACGCTTCTATTATTTCTATTCAACTGTCCATTTTGTTGTAGTTGTCATTACTGCCATTCACTAATTATTGTGACTTCTCCCTCCTTCTGCTAATATGGTACTAGCTTGCCTCATTAAACCTAAGTATATTGTGCCCAGCCATAGAAACACATATCAGAGCTGTCAGTGTACCCACCGCCTCACCCCGTGATCCATTTGCTATTTTAGCGTACAAAGGCTCACATGTTTTTCTCTGCCAAAATATAGACTGTGTCTCTTACTGGGCCACCAAAATTTTAAAAGCTGAGCATTTTACATCACCACATAAAAAATCTTAAAAATTAACTGACAAATGATGGGGTAGAATAATGCAGGTTCTGTGCCTTCTGTGCCCTGTGGTCAGGACAACTTTCAGGTTTGACTTCCCCAGTCTCCTGAGTGGCCCTGATGACCTGATGATGGAGCCGGAAGTACTCTTCAGGGAACTCTGCTTGATAGTGCAACCCTACTTGGCTTTCTTTCTTTTTAGTTCCATTTCTCCAATTTCGTACATGTTTTAGCTGCATAACACTTACTACTGATATCACTTTCACATAAACTGTCAGCTGGGGAACCCAAACTAAAACAAAACAAAACAAAAAAATGTGTGGAATTAATATGTGTCATACCAGGCTTAAGGAGCTCAGCTTATGTATGATTCATCACTTACTATTTTCCTCTACCCTGGCAACTGGCAATATTCCAAACAGTGACTGCTCCTTTGGCCAGAGGCCTAGAGTGAGAAAAGTATGAAGCAAAGCCCACAGTTAAGTTATAATGGACACGTGCATGAGGATAAAAATGACGCTTTCCTTTTAAAAGATGCTAAATTATCAGATGGTTTGTTACTACAGCATAATCTAGCCCATCCTTCTACTAATGGACATGAATTTACACTTCATTTGTATCAATTTATATGTTATCAGACCAGGCTAGGTTATGCTGTGGTGATAAATTCCAAAATCTCAATGGCTTGCAATGAGAAAGGTTCATTTTTTGCTTCTGCCAGTCTCCTCACTCCTGGACTCATTCTGGCGAAGGAGCACACCATAAAATGTGCTTGTGGCTCTGGCAGAGGGAGAAAGCGCTAGAGTTACAAGAAAATATTCAGCACATGTAATTTACTCTCATAACTCATTAGCTAAAAGCAGTCATATGACCTCATCTGACCACAGTGGAACCAGGAAGTATAATTCTACATTATATCCTACATTATATTTCCTGGCCCCACTGTGGTCAGATGAGTAGTACAGAATAATCTCAGTCTCTCAAGATTGAGAGGTGAAAATATTCAGAGAATTGTCCTAGTGAGATTGGTATAGTTTTCAACTCATGGATGTCTGGTTTCCATACAAACTACTCCCTAAACCTGTTATCACCAAGGTCACAAAATACAGTGTTTCTTGAGCTTTCCTTTACACTTTAAATTGTTGAATACCATATTCTTTATTAAATTATTTGCTTTTTTTCTATTATTTAATTAAGTATGCTTTAGATTTTATGTAATTGAAAAATCACAGGCTGGTTTAAAAGTTAACATGGGTTGTCTCTGGTTCAGGCAAAAAGATAAAGGTAAATCTGAAAATTCTCCTGCCAACACATTCCTAGAAATGCTAATGCAAACAGAAGTGGATATTATCCAAGTGGATAATTTATTAAGAAGAGGAAAGTAAAAGAATATTTTAGTACATTTTGGATAGGAATATTTCCTTAAACAAGATATAATAAATGTAAACCATAAAGGAGATACTACCATAAGTTTAGCACATTAATATTTAAGACTTTGTATTAATTAAGACACAAAACATAAAAAATAAAAACCAATTGTATACTGGAAAGAAATTTTTTTCACCCATATGTTGGATAAAAGGGTTTGTAACAAGAATAATAGAAAGCTCCAATGATTAAGAAAAAAAACAACAAAGAAATCATAAGGAGCTGATGAGAAAAGAGATGAAGCATTTAAACAAGCCTCAGAGAAAAAACTCTGCCAAAATTTGCATGTAGAAGTGAGTTTAATATCCACAACCTCTTGAGTAATCAGGGAAACACAAATTAAAACCGTATGATTTTATAGCCAACAGAATGAAAAATGTAGTTAAATATAATAAATTGTTTTTAAAAATCATGTGCTAGAGAAACAAAAACTTGTAACTTTGCAGGTGAGTTGATAAATTAGTTTAACATTTTGGAAAGCAATTGTGCAATATCTAATAAATTTGAAGTTGTGTAGACTTTATATCCCAGTAATCTTGGGTCAAGGGAGACTCTCATACATGCACAGAGACGATTTAGAACACTGTCTATTGTAGCACTTTGTGTAATAGAATAAATATGGGGGTAACTATTTCTTAATATTTACTGCATAAACTGGCATATTCATTGAATAAAATATTATATAGCAGGTACATTATATAATGTACCTTATATAAACTTATATATATACATTATCCAGTATATATATAAACTACATTATCCAGTATCAACATCAAATACAACATAGATATAACTTATGCACATAATTTTGAGGGAGGAAAATAAGAAATAAGTTGTAAATACATATGTATAAAGTTATATATATATATATACAACTTTTAAAAATCAAAACAATGAATGTTATTTATGAATTCACTAATCTGAGGTAAAAGCAGGAAAACTTGCCTATAAATATTATTTTCCACTTTCAGGATAGTAATCACCTCTAAGGCTGGAGATGAAGTGCATGAAAAACTGATAGGCAGGCTCCAAAATGGTTCTGAGAATTCTTGCCTTCTAATATTCATTCCCCTATGTAATAACTCCTTTCAAGTTTGGACTGGACCTAATGACTCACTTTTAATGGATTTAATGACAAACCTTATGGGATATCATTTCAGGGATTAGGTTATAAAGAGATGGTGGCTTCCATCTTGAGTTTCCTACCCTGCTCTCTCGCTTGCTCTGAGGAAACCAGCTGGTATGTTGTGAGCTGATCTATGCAGTGGCCTATACGGCAAAGAACTGAAGAGGCCAGAGGCTAATTCCTCAACTAGTGAGGAACTAAAGCTCTTATCCAATAGCCTACAAGGAAATGAATCCTAGTAGCAACCACATGAGTAAGCCTGGAAGCAGATCCTCCCCTAGCCCAGCCATCAGATGAGACCACAGGCCTGGCTGACACCTTGGTTGCAGCCTTGTAAGAGACCTTGAGGTAGCAGTGCCTAGCCAAGGAATGTTTAGATTCCCACTCCACAGAAACAATAAAATAATGAGTGTCTATTGTTTTAGACCACGAAGTTTGGGGGTAAATTTTGAAGCAGCAACAGCTAACTAATACAGGAAGGCTGGAGAAATAACTGAAAATGTCTGGCAGCCTGGTAAAATCAGTGAATTTCCACCAGGGCTCTTGTTCAATTTCTCTGCACTTAGCTTGACTTTACCATACTCTGTGATTGCAACCTCATGCTGGTGGTAAGATAACTATGACAGCCACATGCCTTGCAGTCACTTATATCTAGCCAGTGCTGTCCAGCAGAAGTATAATGGGAGTCACAAATATAATTTAAAATTTTTTAGAAAACATGCATAAAAAAGTAAATAGAACCTGATAAAATTAATTTCAATAATATATTTTATTTAACCCAACATAATCAAAACACTTATTCCCACCCATAATCTACATAATCAAATTATTGAGATATTGTGCATTCCCTTTGTCATGCTAAATATACATATGAAAGTGCATATTTTGAAATATATGTAGATGAAAAAGTGGATTCTATTTCAAAGTTTTTTCAAATATATTTAAAAGTTTTCCAATAATGAAATTGAGTATCAGTTTTTAAATTTAATTATGATTAATAAAATTAAATAAAATTTAAGAAAATTTTATTCTATCAAATTAAATTATTAAATTAAATACAATTTTATTTAGTAGCTTTGCTAGCTACATTTCAAGTACCCAATAGCCACATGTGACCAGTAGCTACCATATTGGACAGTCTGATTCCAGAAAATATTTCTCCTGAAACATAACTTTTTTTTTTCCAGCTATCAGCAATTTCTCTTTGTTGTTTTTTGGCTAATTTGGGCCATATATATATATTTTTTAATTGATCCTTTTAAAGGGGTATAGAATTCTACTTTAGAAAAGTTGCTCTAACCCTTTCTGTATTTTAGATTCACCTAGAGAAATTTTTAAAAATCCTGTGTTTCGCTTTCAAACTCAGGCATTCTAATGAACTTAGTTGCTTCTATGTATCAAATTGTTTTCTTAAGAGCTTCTTGCAGGACAGGGATTAAAAATAGAGTATGTTCTGTGTTTCTACTTACTAACTAAAACATAACCTTTGGAATGGGCCCTGAGAATTGCTTTTTTTCTTTTTTTTTTTCCTAAGTTCCGAGTGATCCTGATGCTAGTCAAGGAAGGGAATGACTGGTTAGAATCAATGCCCACACCTGAGAATTGTGCTTGAGATAGATTCTCCTGAAGACACAGGGCTTCACAGGAAGGAGAGATAATTATTGGATGGAAAACAGAACTGAGAAGAGAAATCACTTGTATGTATATAATTGTACATCAACTGTCTCTGCTATACTGTCTGGGTATTCCTTCTAACTTTTAGGTGTATTTTCAGTCTCTGTCACTGCTTTTACATTGCTGGCCCCTCCTTAAATGGGTTCCCTAGGTTCCTGTTGCCAGCTTCTCACTGTGCATTTTGCTTTATTCCACTCTTTCCTATCTTGAGTTTTCACTACCATCTATAACAGAATAATCCATAATGCTTTGCCTTGTACATTTCAGATCATCAGTTGAAAATAATTCTGATTCATTGCAACTTGACTGCCAGACTTGTTTTTTCACATTAACTTTTTATACTCAACATTAATACAGCAATTTTTATTGCTTCTATAGCAGTTACTGTATGTTGTAGCAGTAAAATGTATGTCCAACAGTATTGCTGTAATTTTTAGCTACTGAAAGAATTATTTTTAAATTCAAACCTATAAAATTTACTCCTGATGACACTATTGCTATTTTAGTGCTATTTTAGTGTGCTTCAATGATAAATATAATATGACCATGCCTGAAACCTATACGAGCTTCAAAAAAAGTGGGTTTTTGTTTATAATGTGCTAGAATATAGGTTTTATTTATTTTTATTTTTTGAGTCATTGGTGAAATTGCTAATATCCAAGAACCACAGCTTTGTCTCATCCGTTACATTACAGCCTCTCTGTAATAGTCTCTGGTAGGGTGGAAAGACTTTCAAGGATTTTCTTAAAGAAATATATTTGTCTGTTATCTCAGAGACACAGAGAAAAAATGTAAACGTATTTATGTTAGACTAATTCAACAGCATAACTGATGTAGATTTTCCAGAATGGGAGCAGTTATTTTTTTAAAGTCAGCAGATTATTTATAAGAATATTCTGTAAGATTTCTCTGTCTTAAAATTATTTATATTTCTTTACTCATTAATTTCACTTCTAGAATCTTAAGGAAATAAACAAAAATACAATAAAAACATTATGCCCAAAGATATTATTTAAAATAGTCATCATATTTAGACTTTGGAAATATTCCACATTTTCATCAATAAACACAATTTAAGTGAAATGGATTCTTATACAAATTTTAAACTAATGTTTATGAAAAATTTCAAACATAAGTGAAAATGATTTTAAAATATTTAGTAAGGAAGTTCATTTTTCTTGGTTGGGTCTAAGACCTGTGCTAGATCTTTCTTTTGAGGAATGAGACCAGGAAGGAATAAAGGTGAGCCTGGGAAAAGGTAGACTTGTTTCTCCTTGCTGTCTCTGCTAAAGAGTCCTAATTCTTGGCAGGGCATATTTTTAGAACATTCTTGACCCACATCTCTCTGTTAATAATAAGAATAATATCACACCTGTAATCCCAGCACTTTGGTTGGCCAAGGCGGCTGGAACATGAGATCAGGAGTTCAAGACCGGCCTGACCAATATGGTGAAACCAGTCTCTAATAAAAATACAAAAATTAACCAGGTGTGGTAGTGTGTCCAGAATTGGTGGGTTCTTGGTCTCACTGACTTCAAGAATGAAGCCACGGACCCTCGCGATGAGTGTTACAGCTCTTAAGGTGGCGCGTCTGGAGTTTGTTCCTTCTGATGTTCAGATGCATTCAGAGTTTCTTCCTTCTGGTGGGTTCGTGGTCTCGCTGGCTCAGGAGTGAAGCTGCAGACCTTCCTGGTGAGTGTTACAGCTCATAAAGGCAGTGTGGACCCAGAGTGAGCTGTAACAAGATTTATTGCAAAGAGTGAAAGAACAAAGCTTACACAGTGTGGAAGGGGACCCCAGCAGGTTGCCACTGCTGGCTCCAGCAGCCTGCTTTTATTCTCTTATGTGGCCCCACCCACATCCTGCTGATTGGTAGAGCCAAGTGGCCTGTTTTGACAGGGCTCTGATTGGTGCGTTTACAATCCCTGAGCTAGATACAAAGGTTCTCCACGTCCCCATCAGATTAGTTAGATACAGAGTATGGACACAAAGGTTCTCCAAGGCCCTACCAGAGCAGCTAGATACAGAGTGTTGATTGGTGCACTCACAAACCCTGAGCTAAACACAGGGTGCTGATTGGTGTGTTTACAAACCTTGAGCTAGATACAGAGTGCCAATTGGTGTATTTACGATCCCTGAGCTAGACATAAAGGTTCTCCACGTCCCCACCAGACTCGAGCCCAGCTGGCTTCACCCAGTGGATCCCGCACTGCGGCTGCAGGTGGAGCTGCCTGCCAGTCCCGCGCCGTGCGCCTGCACTCCTCAGCCCTTGGGTGGTCGATGGGACTGGGCGCCATGGAGCAGGGGGTGGCGCTCGTGGAGGAGGCTCTGGCCACACAGGAGCCCACAGAGGGCGTGGGAGGCTCAGGCATGGAGGGCTGCAGGTCCCCAGCCCTGCCCCGCGGGAAGGCAGCTAAGGCCTGGCGAGAAATCGAGCGCAGCGCCAGTGGGCTGGCACTGCTGGGGCACCCAGTACAGCCTCCACAGCCGCTGGCCCGGGTGCTAAGCCCCTCATTGCCCGGGGCCTGCAGGGCCGGCCGGCTGCTCCGAGTGCAGGGCCCGCCAAGCCCACGCCCACCCGGAACTCCAGCTGGCCCGCAAGCGCCGCGCGCAGCCCCGGTTCCCGCTCGCGCCTCTCGCTCCACACCTCCCTGCAAGCTGAGGGAGGGGGCTCCGGCCTTGGCCAGCCCAGAAAAGGGTTCCCACAGTGCAGCGGTGGGCTGAAGGGCTCCTCAAGTGCCGCCAAAGTGGGAGCCCAGGCAGAGGAGGCGCCCAGAGCGAGCGAGGGCTGTGAGGACTGCCAGCACGCTGTCACCTCTCAGTAGCGCATGCCTGCAGCCCCAGCTACTTCAGAAGGTGAGGCAGGAGAATCACTTGAACTCGGGAGGCAGAGGTTGCAGTGAGCTGAGATTGTGCCATTGCACTCCAGCCTGGGCGACAGAGCGAGACTCCATCTCAAAAAAAAAAAGTCCTAATACTTTTGAATTATATTAATTATATTTCACCTGTGCCATGCTTGGCTTGGAGCAACCGGTTATACTGTAAATATACACAGCCATACCAAATGTGAGGCAGAAATGGTTAATTGATAACGACCAATATTTTAGACTATAATTATGTAGATTTTCTTTGAGAAATATTGGCAACAGAAGAGAGAAAGAAGTTTGTAGAGCAGGTTTTATGGATGTATGTATATATAAACCTACATCGCTAGCTAAATTTGGTTGGACATATGGACATATGGTTCCTCTGAGGGAACTTTAGGATTAAAATTGCAAAGATAGGTGAACATCACACTGTGGAAAGTTCTTAATGAAAGACTCACATTAATTTAGAAGCATAATAGAAAGATCTGCACTATTAAAACAGGGCTTCATGACTATGTACCTGGTTATATTTCATAGTGTAAATTGTTAGAGTAAAATCTTATGATAGCATTGACCATGAAACAGAAGAAATACAATCAGCAGGACTTGTCAAGTAATTGTTAGAGAATGTTAGGTTAAAAGTAAAGAGAAGAATAAAGTCGACACAATTTTCTGCTTCTGTGATTGCTATTTTCAGGAAGAGTCAACTCAGAAATAAGCAGTTCTGTAGCAAGAGGCTGATGTACCATTGTGGAGTAAATTAAGAATCTTTCATTAAACATTTGGGGGCCTGCTATATTAGTAAGTTATTGAACAATATAACAAAGGAAAAAGTCATTCATCTTAATCATGGTAATTTTTAAAAGGTCAAATAACCAGGCTAGAATCACTCCAAGTTTAGCATTTTTTTAGAACCATAATATGTAGTGTAATTTAAATACTTCTTTATTTATTTTGCAATGTGTGATGAGTGTTAATGTTTTATTTTTGTTACTCTAAAAATTATACACAAGTATTCTAGTTCTTTAAAAAATGAAAATGCTACAAAAGCAATAGAGAAAAAATAACAAATTTGTACTTAAGACCTATATACATGCATAAATAGTATTGAATATATATTCATCATTCATAATTAATATTCATAATTCTGATACAAATATCTGATAATGTATTGAAAATTTTAATACACTGGTATTTTAAAATTAAAATATTTTACACAAAACTAGGTTTATTTGTAAAAATATATAAGTTATACAGCATTTTAAATACACAGAGCTCAACTGCAGTTTCAAAGACTTCACTTCTCTAAGTGTTTGAGGTATTGGTAGATTTAATGTCACTAATTGTAATAGATAGAAATATTTATCTAGTTTTGTCAGTCTTTCCAAATATATTGCCAAAAATCAAGCCCTACTGAGAACCATCTAACTAAGAGAGTAGAATAATTAAGAAAAGAAATTACTATATGAAGCAGTAAAAGAGAAAATCTGTATTGTCTAAAATGAGGAGTGTTATTTATATATGCTTCTCCATGAAGGACAATTCAGAACATTTTTAGTGGCTTTAATGTATTAGATTTTGAAAATATTTTTATAATTTCCAAATAATTAAAAAGTAAGAAATAATTTTATATTAAAATAAATGAGCTGGATTTATTCTATTTATTTTTCATTTTTATTTATTAAATTTCAACTTAAATTTAATATCTGTTTTAACTCTCATATACTAATTTTCATAAGTAGTTCATAAGTATATTTATACTTTTTTATATACCTTTATCACTAAAGATTTTGTAATTGGGTTAATCAAAATCTAGTTATAAGAATGAGCAAAAATTTTAAAAGCATGTTTGTAGTTTTATGAGAAAAATAAATGACACAAAACAAACTCTAAAAAAAGAAAACGAATACTAGTCTTCAAATTTCTTCTTTGTAAAAAATAGCTTTTATTGAGATATAATTCATATAGTATACAATTAACTCATTCCAAGTATACAATTCAATGGCTTTTAGTATAATCAGAGTTATGCACCCTTTACCACCATCTAGGTTTACCATATTCCCATCAGCTCCAAAAGAAACACCATAGCCAGTAGTAGTCACTTCCTATTTTCTCCCAGCCACCTGTCTCCTCAGCCCCTAGCAACCACTAACCTACTTTCTGGGTCTATAGATGTACCTATTCTGAACATTTCATATAAATAGAATTATAAAATTATATGTCGACACAAAAACTTGGATAAGAATGTTCATAGCAACATTATTCATAATATGTAAAAGGTGGAAACCACCCAAATATCTTTCATATGCTCACACTTATAAACAGATTTTGAGTATCCCAATTAGAGAGTCTTTAGTGATAAAGGTGTATAAAATAATATATAAATACAGTTATAAACACTTAGTATATAATTTAAGATCTAAATTCGAGGTCATACATATGATCGCTTGTATCTGGCCTCTTTAACTTAGTATTAGGGTTTCAAGGTTCATTCATGTTGTAGCATGAATCAGTACATCATTCTTTAAATAGCTGAATATTATTGCATTTTATAGAACTACCAAATTTTAATTATTAAATTAAAATGAAAGATATTTGGGCAGTTTCCAACTTTTAGATATTATGAATAATGTTGCTGTAAACATTCTTATCCAAATTTTTGTGTGGGCATATGCTTTCTTTTTTTTTTTTTTTGGTATCTGTCTAGGGGCGGAAATGGATAGGTCATAGAGTAACTGTATGTTTCATCTTTGAGGAACTTCTACACTGTTTTACAAAGCAGCTGAACCACTTTACATTTCCATCATCAATGTATGAGGGTTCCAAATTTCTGACTCTTTTTTTTTCAGCCACACTAGTGCGTATGGTGTGGTTTCTCATTATAGCTTCAATTTGCATTTCCCATGTGACTAGTGATATTGAACACCTTTTCATGTGCTTATTGGCCATTTGTGTATCTTCCTTGAACAAATGTCTACACAAATTCTTTGCCTGATTTAAAATTGAGTTTTTCTTTTTACTATTGAATTGTAAGTGTTCTTTATATATTCTGAATTTGAGATCCTTACCATATATTTGATTTACAAATATTTTCTGGTATTCTGATGGTTGTCTTTTTATTGCTTGATGGCTTCCTTGAAGCACAAATGTTAACTTTGATAAAGTCAATTATTATTTTTTTCTTTTATTATTTGTGCTTTTGATGTCAAATATAATTTTCTTTTGTTACCTGTGCTTTAGATGTCAAATATAAGAAAACATTCCCTAATTTAAGGCCACAGAGAATTATAACTATGTGTTTATCTAAAAGTTTTATAGTTTTAGCTCCTACACTTAGATCTTCAATCCATTTGAAACTGCCTTTGCAAAAATTATTACTGTAAGAGAAGTCTAGCATGGCTGACTCCATCTTGCTCCTACCCTCACAGACTGGCTGTCTTCTCATTCCTGGGTATAGGCCAAGCTGAACATAAGAGAAATTAAGTTTATAGTTTAACTTTGATGCAAAGAAGATGATTACAGTCTCTCCCTAAAACTAACTCTTTCCTTGTTCAGGGACCAAAAACTGCCTTTGTAAAGTTAATGAGATTAGGATTATAGGAGGGGCATGAATTCTGCTAAAATGTAAACATAGTTTCTATAATTCCTCACTACTCAGGAGTCATGTGGCCAGAGGTCACAAGATTTATGACTTCCTCAATTGCTCTTACAGATAACATTACTACTGGAAAATCTAAGACTGGTGTTTTGAGGTGTTTTTCAGACTTTTGCATTCTGCTAACCAACTGACCCCACCTCGTTCCATGACTCCTGACTCAAATGGTTCTGTGTCCCTCACTCAGAGGCAAACTCAGTGTATAAGGACCATTTTCCATGTCTCTATGATTGCATTCCCAACCCATCAGGAACAGCCATTTCCTAGTTCTCTGCCAACCAAACTATCCTTGAAAAACTCTAACCTCTTAGTCTTTGGGAGACTGATTTGAGTAATAAACTCTGTCTTCCATGTGGCTAGCTTAGTATTAATTAAACTCTTTTTTACTGCAATACCATGGTTTTGGTGAATTGGTTTTACTGTGTGGGCAGGAAAAACTTGTCAGGTGACAACACATTTTGAGTTTATTTTTGTGTATGGTATAAGGTAGGGATCTAACTTTTATCTTTTCCATTTACACATCCAGGTGTCCCAGCACCATTTGTTGAAAAGGATATTCTTTCCCTGTTGAAATAATGTCTTGGCACCCAAACTGAAAATGAATTCACCTCAGGTAAAGATTTATTTCTGAACTTTCAATTATGTTCCACTGATCTATCTATAAGTCAATTATAGATCATTATACCTATTTTGATTACTGTAGCTTTGTCCTAAATTTTAAAATCAGGAAACGTGAAAATTTCAAATTTTTTTTGCTTGCTTTGACTATTCTGGCTCCCTTGCATATCTATATGAATTTGAAGACTAGCTTGTCATTTTTTTGTGTAAAAAGTCAGGTGGGATTGTGCTGGGAATTGCATTGAATTCATAGATCAATTTAGGGAGTATCTGAACCTAATTTTTATAGTTGCACAAATTGAGGTTTCCCCAACTGTGGCGTAATCACATTTAAGGTATCTGGGAATTATTTACTATAATAGATATTTACATTCTGCCCATTAATGCTCATTGGATGGTTATTCATAGTTTGTCATGAATTTAGAAAGTTTACAATATATTAATTCCTTCCTAATATGAAAACTATTCTAGAGACCTTGCTGAAAGCATATGAGGCAAGAAATTGAGTATCACATGTCTTCATATTTCCATCTTTCTTCTACACAATCCAGTTTCCTTATTACTTCTCACTTGTAAAGTATTTTGAGCATTCGCTCTAAGGGTCTGTCTACTGTCTAGAGATAAATATTTTGTAGGTAACTAAATATTTTTTTTTATTTTTCAGTTCATCATTTATCTCATTGATTGTCCTAAAATAACAATACTCATTTGATGTGCATTTTTAGAAGTCAAATAATTATAATCTATTTTCCTTTTACAGTATTTCAAGAAATATATTCATTAGGTATGTTTTAACAAAGCAACAATAATATAATTAGTTATACAATGTGTGGAAATAATATTTTAATAAAAATCCTGAGAATAAAATGTGGCAATTTCTGATACATGTATTTAACAAACCAATAGTGCTTCTGTGTTGTAGATGTGTTCTTAATGCTTTATGAATGTTAAATTTTTATAACGATTGATTCTGTTCCAAGATGGCCAAATAGGAACAGCTCTGGTCTGCAGCTCCCAGATGTACAAGATGGGTGATTTCTGCATTTCCAACTGAGGTACCTGGGACTGGTTGGACAGTGGGTGCAGCCCACAGAGGGCGATCCAAAACAGGGTGGGGCATTGCCTCACCCAGGAAGGGCAAGGGGTCGGGGGATTTTCCTTTCCTAACCAAGGGAAGCCGTGACAGACTGTACCTGGAAAATTGGGACACTCTTGCCCAAATACTGGGCTTTTCTAATGGTCTTAGCAAATGGCACACCAGGAGATTATATCTCGCGCCTAGCTTGTCAGGTCCCACACCCACGGAGCCTTGCTCACTGGTAGTACAGCAGTCTGAGATCAAACTGCGAGGTGGCAGCCTGGCTGGGGGAGGGGCATCCATCATTGCTGAGGCTTGAGTAGGTAAACAAAGCATCCAGGGAAGCTCTAACTAGACAGAGCCCACTGCAGCTCAGCAAGGCCTATTGCCTATGTACATTCCACCTCTGGGGGCAGGGCATAGCTGAACAAAAGGCAGCAGAAACTTCTGCAGACTTAAATGTCCCTGTCTGACAGCTCTGAAGAGAGCAGTGGTTCTCCCAGCATGGTGTTTGAGCTCTGAGAATGGACAGACTGCCTCCTCAAGTGGGTCCCTGACCCCCGTTTAGCCTAACTAGGAGACATCTCTCAGTAGGGGCCCACTGACACCTCATACAGGTGGGTGCCCCTCTGGGACGAAGCTTCCAGAGGAAGGATCAGGCAGCAATGTTTGTTGTTCTGCAATATTTGCTGTTCTGCACCCTCCGCTGGTGATACCCAGGCAAACAGGGTCTGGAGTGGACCTCAAGCAAACTCCAACAGACCTGCAGCTGAGGGACCTGACTGTTAGAAGGAAAACTAACAAACAGAAGGGAATAGCATCAACATCAACACAAAGGATATCCACACCAAAACCCCATCTCTAGGTCACCAACATCAAAGAGGAAAGGTAGATAAAACCACAAAGATGGGGAGAAACTGGAGGAGAAAAGCTGAAAATTCTAAAAACCAGAGTGACTCTTCTCCTCCAAAGGATCGCAGCTCCTCACCAGCAACGGAACAAAGCTGGACGGAGAATGATTTTGACGAGCTGACAGAAGTAGGCTTCAGAAGTTCAGTAATAACAAACTTCTCCGAGCTAAAGGAGGATGTTCGAACCCATCACAAGGAAGCTAAAAACCTTAAAAAAAAATTAGACAAATGGCTAACTAGAATAAACAGTGTAGAGAAGCCTTAAATTACCTGATGGAACTGAAAACCATGGCACAAGAACTCCGTGACACATGCACAAGCTTCAATAGCCAATTCGATGAAGTGGAAGAAAGGGTATCAGTGATTGAAGATCAAATTAATGAAATAAAGTGAGAAAAAATGTTTAGAGAAAAGAGAGTAAAAAGAAACAAACAAAGCCTCCAAGAAATATGTGAAAAGACCAAATCTACGTTTGATTGGTGTACCTGAAAGTGATGGGGAGAATGGAACCAAGTTGGAAAACATTCTTCAGGATATTATCCAGGAGAACTTCCCCAACCTACCAGGGCAGGCCAACATTCAAATTCAGGAAATACAGAGAATGCCACAAAGATACTCCTCGAGAAGAGCAACCCCAAGACACATAATTGTTAGATTCACCAAGGTTGAAATGAAGGAAAAAATGTTAAGGACAGCCAGAAAGAAAGGTCGGGTTACCCACAAAGGGAAGCCCATCAGACTAACAGCAGATCTTTCAGCAGAAACTCTACAAGCCAGAAGAGAGTGGGGGCCAATATTCAACATTCTTAAAGAAAAGAATTTTCAACCCAGAATTTCATATCCAGCCAAACTAAGCTTCATAAGTGAAGGAGAAATAAAATCCTTTATAAACAAGCAAATGCTGAGAGATTTTGTCACCACGAGGTTATTCTCACTAAGCCTTTTAGATAGCCTCCCTGCTCCACCATTTCACTGCTTTTAATGACTTTCCTAAACTCATGCACAAATATTCAACTGAATATTAGAGGGGGCACCTTGCAGATCTCTGAGGTTCTCTGGCATCTCTCTAATTATTGGTACTCGTTTTCCATGAAGTGTAGCCACTTTGGATTTCCTGGGCCCCCAGCTATATCTTCTCAACTCAGGGAGACTACCAAGCCTGCCTGGATTATCTTTTCCTGCATACAGTCTATAAAATGTCTGGAGGAGTAAACTGGGGCAATTATTGGGCTCATCTTGTTTGTTTCCAATATCTTTATAGTCCTTTAATATCCCATGTCTAGTGCCCTGAACACCATTGTGTGTGTATATGTATATATGTATATATAACTATTATATTCATGTATATGTAGTATATATTATGTACTACTGTGTATGTGTGTGTGCATGCGCGTGTGTGTGTGTGTATACTTGACCAGAAGCAGAAGTTTCACAATGTGATTTTCATCAATCAAAATGCAGAGCAAAAAAGGCCCTAAGACCAAAATACAAAACACAAAACCTAAACTATTAGTATTGTTAGGAGAATTAAAACTAGTAATCTTATATTATTTAAATAAATAATGTCAATCTACCTTACACACTTACATATATCCATGAGTTTAGATCAGAGAAGCACTTATCTTCAAAGCAATTATATTGATGTCCATCATAAAACTTTGATTATAGGCCTGTAACTTCCCACAGATTAGCCTTCAACACCGTGACTTCCACTCATTCCTTCCACTCTTACATTCATTCCTGGCGTTAAATTCTTGCGTGACTTGGGTTTCAACACCTCTATTCAGTATAAACCATGATGTTTTATATACAGTTAGATTTCCTTTCTCCAAATAGATGGCTTCTTATTTACTTTCATATTTCTCTGGATCTTTCATCTAGCATTCTCTCACACTTCTTATTCTTTAGGACTTATTTTTGTTGAGTCCCGCCACTAGCTCACCAGCGTGACAGAAAAAAAAAATCAATATTTTCTATCTAGAAATGTTGGTCAATCACTTATTTTCAGAACAAAAGCTAAACAGTACTGAGGAAGAGAACACCTGTGTAATTTGCTGAATCAGTCTGATAAATAATGGCAAACCACAAGGCAGCAAGTATTGATGTAAATTTGCCTTCACTTTCTGGTTGATAATAGTTCATGTGAGTAAAGGAAGATTATTCCAGAGATAATTTATAAATAGGTTCAATTAACATTGTAAGAATTTAAAGAGTACTTCTTTTGGCTTTATGTTGGGTTAGATTTTTTGAATTTCCTTTTAAGACCAGAATTAAGCCCTGTAAAAATGAAACTAAACAAAACAAAGCAAAAAAACAGAGACCAGAAATTCACTAGGCGTTATTACCAAAAATTGCCATAAAATGGATTAAACAGGAAAATGCATATTTAATAATGTTAGTGATTAAGGAAAAGAGACTTGTCATTTGTTCAAAGAAACAAGCAGAAACCTAGAAATGGGATCAAGGTTAAGTGATTAAGAGTCATATCAATCCCAAAACAAAGTGGTTTTATATATTTAAGACAACAGGTGTGAAAGAAGCCAGAGGCTTCTGATATTTGCTTTAAAAAGACAACAAAATTGGAGAACCAACACTAGTTTATTTTGAGAATTATAAAGCTACAGTAATCAAAACTGTGTGATATTGGCATCAAGATAGATAAATACATCAATGGAACAGAGTAGAATCTAGAAATAGACTCAAATATATATTTTCTACAACAATTTGAATTGCTGTGACAAACTACCATGAACTGAGCAGCTTATAAACAACAGAAATTTATTTTTGGAGTAAAAAAACAGTTTTGGAGACTGGTACAACCATAATTAAGACTCTGTTGTGGTCAGGTGTGTTGGCTCACGCCTGTAATCCCAGCACTTTGTGAGGCCGAGGCGGGTGGATCATGAGGTCAACAGATCGAGACCATCCTGGCTAACATGGTGAAACTCCGTCTCTGCTAAAAATACAAAAATTAGCCAGGCGTGGTGGCGGGCACCTGTAGTCCCAGGTACTCAGGAGGCTGAGGCAGGAGAATAGCTTGAACCTGGGAGGTGGAGGTTGTAGTGAGCCAAGATCGTGTCACTGTCTACAGCCTGGAAGGCAGAGCTAGACCCCATCTCAAAAAAAAAAAAAAAAAAAAAAGACTCTGTTTTCTGGAAGGCCAGCTTCCTGGTTCATAGACAGCTGTCTTCTTGCAGCATCCTCACATGGCAGAAGTAGACAAGGGACCACTCATTCTAGGGTGTCTTTATAAGTGCATTAACCCCATTTTTGAGGGCTTTGTCCTTATGACCTAGTCAATCTCCCAAAGGCACCACCTTTAATACCATCGCATTGTGAATTAACTTTCAACATATGAATTTTGGGAGGACGTAAACATTCAGTCTGTGGCATATATGGACTATTGATTTCCACAAAGAAGCATAGGAAATTACACAGAAAAATGACAGTCTTTCCAAAATATGGTTGTGAGATAATTGGATATTCACATGCAAAATGTAAACTTTAATTCATATCTTGAACTTTATACAAATATTTTCTCAAAATAAATCATAGGCCAAAATGTTAAAATCAAAACTATAATATTTTCAGAAATAATAGTAAGAGAAAATCTGTGTGATATTGTGTTAGGCAAATATTTCTTACATATTTTACCAAAAATATCCATACAGGAAAAAAATTAATAATTCAGATTTTCTCAACAGTGAAAAACTTCTGCTCTTCAAAAGACATTGTTAAGAGAATATGCAGACAACCTATATATTGGAAGAAACTATTTGCAATGCATAAATTTTATAAAGGACAAGTCATCCCAACATATTTTTGTAAAAAGATTTCAAAACTCCATGAAAAGATGCTAAACAATCCCATTAAAAATAGGCAAAATATTTGTTACATGGTTCTATTGTATGATGCTGAGGTTTCAGGTATGGATTCCATCACCCAGGTTGTAAGCATAATACCCAATAAGTAGTTTTTTAACCTATGACCTTCTTTATCCCTCTTCACGCTAGTAGTTTGCAGTGTCTATTGTTATCATCTTTATGCCCATCTGTACTCAGTGTTTAGCTCCCACTTATAACTGACAACATGTGGTATTTGGTTTTCTGTTCTTGTGGTGATTTGCTTAGGATTATGACCCCCACCTACAGGCTGCAAAGGACGTGATTTTTTTTTATGGCTGTGTATTATTCCATGGTGTACATGAACCACATTTTCTTTAGCCATCCCACCACTGATGGACACCGAGGTTGATTCCATATCTTTGCCATTGTGAATAGCATTACATTGAACATATGAGTGCATGTGTCTTTTTGGTTGAGTGACTTATTTTCTTTGAGTGGATACCTAGTAATGGGATTGCTGGGTCAAATGGTAGCTCTGTTTTAAGTTATTTGAGAAAACTCCAGACTGCTTTCCACAGTGGCTGAACTAATTTATAGTCTCATCGGCCATGTAAAAGTGTTTTCTTCTTCTCAACCTTATTTCTTTGACTTGTAAAAAGTAACCATTCTGACTGGTGTGAGATGGTAGGTATTTCATTGTGGTTTTGATTTACATTTCTCTGATGATTAGTGATCACAAGCATTTTTCCTCTGTTTGTTTGCCACAGACCCTTTGAGAATGGTCTGTTCATGTCTTTTGCCAATTTTTAAATGCAGTTATTCGTTGCTTTTTTTTGCTTGTTGATTTAAGTTCCTTATAGGTTCTGATTATTAGACATTTGTCATATGCGGAGTTTGCAAATATTTTCTCCCATTCTATAAGTTGTTTGTTTACTCTGTTGAAATTCTTTTTTTTTTTTCTGTACAGAAGCTCTTTCGTTTAATTACTTCACACACGTCAGTTTTTGTTTTTGCTGCAGTTGCTTTTGGCGACTTAGTCAAAAATTCTTTGCCAAGACCAATATGGAGAAGGGTATTTCTTAGGTTGTCTTCTAGGATGTGACAAACCCGCACATGTACCCCTGAATCTAAAATTAAAGTTGAAATTATATAAGAAATAAACAAGCCTTTATATAAAGATATGTATTATGTGACAAAGAAAGCATGAGAAAATGGAGAAGAATTATTTTACAAATGGTATTGAGATATTTTGGAATCATACTCATAATAAATTTTAGATGAGTTCAGTAGTGTATAATATATACACACACAAACACATATGCATACATACACACACTTTGAATAAATATATATGCATACAGATATATATGTATACATGTGCATGTGCATATGTGTATATATGTGTGCATTTGTATATATACATATAAACTTTTTTAAGTAGACAAAATATTTGAAAAGATATTTCACAAAACAAAAGATATTTCACAAAACAAAAGATATTTCACAAAACAAAAGATATTTCACAAAACAAAAGATATTTCACAAAACAAAAGATACAGATGACAAATAAATACATGAAAAGAGGCTGAACATCATTAGTCATAAAGAAAATGCAAATTAAATCATATCTATTTATTACTACCCATTTTATATATGGCGAAAACTAAGAAACATGCTCATAACAACTGTTGACAAGGGTGTGAAGAACTGAAACTCTCATACATGGTGGTGAGAATATCAAATGATAGAGTCACTGTGGATACAGTTTGACACTTTCTTAAAAAGTCCAAGCTAGACCTACTGTATATCCCAGCCATTTCACTTCAGTGTAATCAACCAAGAGAAATGAAAAGTCTTGTTTATATGGAAATCTGTGTATTGATATTTATATAGGCTTTATTTGTGATAGTCCCAAATCGAAAAAAGAATCCAAATAACCACCAACAGATAAATGAATTTAAAAGTGTTCTATGCTCATACAGTCGATAACTATTCAGCAATAAAATAAAGCAATTATTGATATGTGTAGCAACAAGGATGAATCCCAATATAATAATGTTTAGTGAAAGATGTAATATGCAATATAAAATAGAATATATAGTGTGGGATTACAGTTATATAAAACTCTGGGAAAAGGCATAATTGCAGAATGCAGAGAAGTGATTGGGGATGATGAAGGATTAGGCCAGGGTGGAAGGCAGGATTACAAATGCATATGAAACTTTTTGAAATGATGGATATATTTACTCTGTCTATTGTGGTCATAGTTTTACAGGTCTGTGCTTAAGTCAAAACCTATCGAACTGTGAGCCAGGTGCAGTGGTCCATGCCTATAATCCCAGCACTTTGGGAGGCCAAGGCAGGTGGATCACCAGAAGTCAGGAGTTCAAGACCAGCATGGCCAACATGGCAGAACCCTGTCTCTACTAATAATACAAAAATTAGCTGGATATGGTGGCATGCACTTGTAGTCCCAGCTACTTGGGAGGCTGAGGCAGGAGAATCGCTTGAACCTAGGAGGTGGAGGTTGCAGTGAGCACAGATTGCGCCGCTGCACTCCAGCCTGGGTGACAGAGCGAGACTCTGTCTAAAAAAATAAATAAATAAAATAAAATAATTAAAATATAAAAAATAAAACCTATCAAACTGTGTATTTTAGCTATGAGCTGTTAATTACATGTCAATTTTATCTCAATAAAGCAGGTAGAAATTTTTAAAAATATATATTGTAGGCTGGGCGTGATGGCTCTTGCCTGCAATCCCAGCACTTTGGGAGGCCGATGTGGGCCGATCACTTGAGGTCAGGAGTTTGATACCAGCCTGGCCACCATGGTGAAACCTTGTCTCTACTAAAAATACAAAAATTATCTGAGTGACGTGGCACGCACTTGTAATCTCAGCTACTCAGGAGGCTGAGGTAGTAGAATTGCATGAACCCAGGAGGTGGAGGATGCAGTGAGCTGAGATCAAGCCACTGCACTCTAGCTTGGGCGACAGAGTGAGACTCCGTCTCAAAAAAAAAAAAATTATATATATATAGTGAATAAATCACGAAATTTGGAACAGTTGAGAGAGTTTATATACAATGCCATTTAATTAAGAAATGCTAATATGATAATATGATGGGATTAGGAAAAACTAACATGACATCACCATATGATGAGACCTAAGGTAAGGTTAATGCAGAAAATCTATACCATAAACCCCTGTATTCTTTCTTGAGATGACTAAAGCTAAAATACAGAGGTAAACACAATCAGTTGAGAGATGATTCTTAGTGTATATATGATTAACATAAACCATTTGTTTAAGATGAATCAAACTTTCCCTGGTAGTGTGTATTTAGAAAATTATAGTTTGTCCAAAAGAAGATATTATATAATATATTATACTGTCAGTAATAGCTTAATTACTGTACCTATACATACTATAAAATATGTATACTTTGTTACAACATCTTTTAGTGCAGGAGAATAGTTGTACTACATTATTACTTGATATAAGTCTTGCAAGAAAAATTAGACATCATATAAATTGAGGTTATAGGTACCCATATAAATTACTTCAATAAAGCACCTTTCAAATGAAAGTTTAAAGCCAAGTAACTTTACCAAGTTGCCAAGATAAAGTTTTTGCAAACTATAATTACAGATAATGAAACACTTTGATTTCTTAGAGTCTTGCTAGTTATATGTCAATTAAATAACTCATTTTGTGGTCCAAAATTAAAATTTTATTTGCTTTTATATTGTGTTGAAGGAGAATAAATTATATTACTATTGCTCACCTGAATTAGAGAAGTATATAATTATAGTAATTTGTTGTTTTTCTATGGATGCATTGTTCACATTTAGAAGACTACCTGTTTTGTGTAGTTGAACTACCAATTCATTCTACTAAATCTGTAGGGTTTTTGTTGTTGTTGCTTTTTATTTCTTATTTATTTTTTTTTTTATTGAGACAGAGTCTGGCTCTGTCACCCAGGCTGGAGTGCAGTGGCGCTATCTGGGCTCACTGCAAGCTCCGCCTCCCGGGTTCACGCCATTCTCCTGCCTCACCCTCCCGAGTAGCTGGGACTACAGGCTCCCGCCACCGTGCCCGGCTAATTTTTTTGTATTTTTACTAGAAATGGGGTTTCACCGTGTTAGCCAGGATGGTCTTGATCTCCTGACCTCGTGATCCGCCCGCCTCCACCTCCCAAAGTGCTGGGATTACAGGTGTGAGCCACCGTGCCCGGCCTAAATCTGTAGTTTTTAAGTCCAAAAAATGTATATTTTTGAGAGAGTTTAAAAAGCAAAATGCTGGCATACTATTTCTGCTTATTTTGATTCAGTGATATTTTGTACAAATTTTTTCTCTGGATCAATATCAAGCCATTTATAAGGAACTCATGCAATTTTGACTGTAAATATCCACAGGGACAAATAGTGAGAAAAATAATTAAAATTGTAAACTATAAGTGTGTTATTAATCAATGAATTTAACAAATGATTGAAACTATAACCATGGTGAACTGTTGATGATATTACCTGAGGACTGCCAGATTTTCATACAAAATACTGATTGACTGAAATACTTTACTTTTCTAGTAAGCTAATCAATTTGTACTCTTTTAATCTGGTTCTTGGCTTTCAAACAAACAGATATTTACTTGTTACCTATATTTGCACTGCACTCTGGGATCAGAGTAAAATTACGGAACACTGGCATTCTCAAAACTTCACCAGTGCAATGGAAATACTGGATGGGTATTTAATGTAAACAATTTTTGTCTGAAGTTATCTTTGTTTTAAAACAGAGAGTATGTATTTAAATTATAACATCGATGCAACTTTTACTCAGTGTTGAATTTTACTGAAAAGATATTAGTGTTATAGGATTTGAAATGAAAAATTATCTGAATCTATTTATAAGGTATTCTTGTGGATATTAACTTGGAAGCTCAGGTTTTTTTTCTGTTTCTTAGAGTTGGGACAGAATTTGTGGGTGCTAAGGTGAATGTTATTAGAGAGACAATGCTATGACTTCACAAAGGCCAGCCGTCTCTGGGGATCAAGAGATCCACGATGACAGTCACCCCCCTCTACCCCACCAAGGCCTCTAAAGAGGATAATCATGCTTGTACAATTTTCCAAGGATCCCGCCAGCACTATATCTATTTATGTTCAGAGCTTCAGAGGGAAGAGCATAGTACTTATTCTGACAACAGGAAGATTCAAGCTGAATCTCTCCAACCCTTTTAAATCTGGTTTTTGGCTTTCAACCAAACAAGTATTAACTTGTTACTTACATTTACACAGCACTTTAGGATCCAAGATTAAAATTATAGAACAATGGAATTCTCAGAACTTCACCAGCCGAAATGAAATACTGGGTGGCTATTTAAAGTAAATCATTTTTTGTAAAGTTATATTTGCTTTGAATTAAATGCCTTGTTCACTTGTTTCCCTTTGGAGACACATGCATATATTTAGTTAGCTGTGTACAAAGTTGTTTACCACAAAGTGTTAGTTCTACACCAGATTTATTATTTAACTTCAGATTGCATTTTATTTAAGATAGAGGAATTTTAATTTATTCATTGAAAATAGATCAAATTAGAATTTTTTTCTATATGCTTACTTTGGTTTCAAATTCCTTAAATATTTTTTAATTACACTATGAGATGGTTTGTGAGCAAATTCGCCATCAGTACTGCCTGCAGATAATGAGTTAATATACAAATGCAAAGTCCCACTGTTCTGGGATAGTGTGACATTTAATGCCAACCAAAATGTACTGGTGCTCTGACCTTCAGGGTTCTTGCAGCATATGGGAAACTTGTAAATTTCCAGCACCATGTCTAACCTAATAAAGATGGATTCAAAGAAGAAAAGAAATAGAGAAGCTAGTCCATTTTCTTCTTCATATAAATTTTTCTATTTGTGTCAAATTTAACCAGAATTAGCAATAACATTTACTCTTGATTATCATTGAAAAACATTTTCAAGAATGGTAATTTAAAAAAAGAAAAAGAGAAATAAAAACAAGTTATATGTTTTCTCATACAGAAAAATAATTCACATCCTATACATTCATTAATTTAGCCTTGCCAACTACAACAGTGAAGTTGTTTTCTTTCCTGATTTCTATGTATATATAGAAATATATATCTATATATTTATATATAGATATTTATATATAGATATTTATCTATCTATATACACATCAAGAACACTTTAAACTTTTACTGTTGAAAGAGTATCAAATATGTGAGTTGCTAGATTTTAAGACATTGTATTCATGAATTGGTTTGTGCATGCATTTTGGGTCTTTAACTTGATTATAAAATCCTCATTGAAAAGCATTCACTTCTCTTATATGTTTATAATTCCAGCTCCTATCTCCCTGATTAGAGCATAAATGCCTCCTAACTGTCCCTATATGTAATTTTCCTTCCTTCGGTCTTCATCACAGTAGTCTCCCTTAAAGTGGAGCTCTGATCCCATTACTTCCCTCTTCTTGGTGAAATAGGGAAGAATCATCACCTAATTTTGAGTACTGGTTAAAGTCCATGCCATTTTCCTACCAATAAACTATGAGCAAGGGCTCAATGAGGGTGACATCAGCCTAAGTGCACAGGATTCCCTAACAAGCTTGTCACCTGCCTAAAGTGACTGAGCAGGCTGGGCGCAGTGGCTCACGCCTGTAATCCCAGCACTTTGGGAGGTCGAGGGGGGCAGATCACGAAGTCAGGAGTTTGAGACCAGTCTGGCCAACATAGTGAAACCCTGTCTCTACTAAAAATAAAAAATAAGAATAAAAATTAGCCAGGTATGGTGGTATGTGCCTGTAATCCCAGCTACTCGGGAAGCTTAGGCAGGAGAATCGTGTGAACCCAGAGACGGAGGTTGCAGTGAGCCAGGATCATGCCATTGCACTCCAGCCCGGGCAACAGTGCGAGATTCCATCTCAAAAAAACAACAACAAAAAAAGGGACTGAGAAGAAAATTAGTCACACAGAAGAAATTAGTTTTATAGGTATCTCAAGGAGCCTATATAAGTGATTTTGGATTCAAAGAACTTTACAGCAAGGTAACTTCGATTGTGTCTAGTTGTGTTAACCTCTACAATATATTATTAAAGCAAGCATTAGGCTTTTCCAAAGTTAAACGATTCTTGTCACTGAGTCTGCTGTGGCTATATAGCACAGTTTGTGAGGGGACAGGGGAAAGTCTGCCAAAAACAAGAAAACAGAAGCAGCCATAGAGAATTAGGATCTTATTGCTCTAGATGAGCCTCCTGACACTCCACTCAAAAACTTAAATGTTCCTAGTTACCCAAAGAATAATGGTCAAATTTTTTCACTCACTTTAAAAGCATTATGTGTCTTTTACCCATTTTGCTGCATGATGATGTAGTCAAAAGGAAGAATTCGTGTTCCTGATGTAGTCTCTAATATTCACTACCTCTGCATATTTAATTGTACGCTACATGTATGAACTTTGTTGTGTAGCACATTATATTTATTTGTAACTCTAGAACAGCTTTTCAGCCACAGTTCATAGAAAATTAAGGACCATTATTATTTTCATTTATCCCATGGAAGATGCATTTCTAGGATCATTCCAGATGCTTAAGAGATCAATCAATTTATTAAATGTATGCCTAGTACAGAAAGGAATTCTCTCATGAAAACTCAGTTGCAAAGATCTGCTTTGAAACTAGATTAAATCCAACTTGAGCACCCATCTTCAAAAATCAAAGAGAAATCTAATGTCGGCTACTTTGACCTATCTTTAGATCTATACAAGGGACCTGTTTGGAGGCAATAGGGTTTACCAGATGTGGTCACTGCAGCTGCATTTTTCCTTCCAGTCATGCAATACTGCTATGAAAAAAATCTGACACTGATGCTCCATCGGAAGTGGTTTTTGTTTTGGTTTGGTTTTTATCATACTAAGAACACAACATGAGATGTACTCAAATTTTTAAGTGTGCAATATTGTGTTGTTAACTATAGGAACAAAGTTATACAAATCTCTAGAACTTAACCATCTTGTATATCTGAAACTTCATACCAATTGAATAGCTATTTCGCATTTCCTTCTCCCTTCAGTCTCTAGCAGCCATCATTTGACTTTGTTTCAATGAATTTGACTATTTTAGATATCTCATATAAGTTGATCATGCAGTATTTGTCCTTTTGTGACAAATAACCCAATTTAAAAATAGGTAAAAAATTTGAATAGCCATTACTTCAAAAAATATTTATAAATGGCCAAGAGGCATATGAAAAGATGTTCAATGTGACTAATAATCAGAGAACCAAAAATCAAAACCACAGTGAGATGTTACTTCATACCTGTTAGCATAGTTGTTATAAACAAAAAAAGAAGTTCTGGCAAGGATGTGGAGAAATGAAACACTTGTACACTGTTAATGGGATTGTAAAATGTAGCCATGATGAAAAGCAGTATGGAGATTCCTCAAAACATTAAACATAGAACCATTACATAATCTAGCAACCCTATCTCTATGTAGATATCAAAGAAAATGAAATCAGAATCTCAAAGAAATGTTTGCACTTTTGTGTTAATTGCAGCATTATTCACAAGGCCATGACATGGGAACAGACTTAATATCCATTGATGAGTGAATAGATGAAGATAATGTGGTAGCTACATACAATGAGATATTATTCAGACTTAAAAAGAAGAAAACCTTGCAGCTTGTTACAACACAGATAAACCTGGAAGAAGTAGAATAAGTCACTGAAGTGGGTTTTATTTCCTGACTTTTCACCTTAGCCAGTGGGCTATGCTAGTTTATGTGCTTCTGCTTGTCATATTCAGCTATAAGTGACCTTTTTATATCTTAAAGGGTCATAAACCTTGCTGATTATTCACCAAAGGAACATCCGATTTATCTCTGTAAAGGTACTGCCATCTCCTTAGAAGTGCTCCATTCCATGAACCTGTGATGCACAAACAATCTGAAACCGTGTCCCTTTCATACTAAAGGAAAGTCAAGTTGCTTTTTCTCATTCATCAAAAAGCGTCATTTCCTTCCTCATCTACAACAACTTCGTGATTTTATTCCCTCCATGGTCCTGGACCCTGAAATCCATGAGAACTATTTAGAAACTATCTTTAGGTGGACTCACTAGGTATTCATGGTTTATCCCTTCTGGCTCTGAATCGTAAAAAAAAAGAAAAAAAAGAAAAGAAAAGAAAAGAAAAGAAAAAAAAGTTTACTCCCATTGTGGGGTATTAAAGATTTTCAATTTGAGTAAATGCATCCTAAGGGGTAGGCTCTCCATTTTATGCCTTATGTGGTTTTGCACACATCAAAAACGCCCAAACATTTTGTGTTGAACAAATACATAAGTAAGTGTAAAACATTCTCAATGATATCTAAAATAGAGTTCAGAGCTGAACTATTCTTTTAATCCACCATTCTGACCCCAGAGATTTTGGGAATTACCACATTGAAAGCAGCTTGTTTTTCACTTTAACTCAGAATGCTGCCTGATCTCTCTGATTCTGTCTTCATCAGCTAACACCAAACACACTGCTCACTGTTTTATCACTGTTTTCACTTCTCTCCTTATTTCTGAAGCTTAGTTCCATTTTGCATGCTATTATTTATGACAGTTTAGAAAGCTCTTCTGGTATCCAAGGTTTCCTTAGGTAAACATCTTTTCTGATTTGACTAATTCTTGGGACCATTTCTGTCTGACTCATTTCTTAGGCAGTTGTATCCCCAGATTTATTCTAAACTTTGAAGTGTTAACACTCAATAATAGGGACTCTGCTTATTCACCCCTGTATTTTCAGCATCCAGCTTAGTGCCTGACACAAGTATGTTTATTTTGCTTGCATTTAATAGTAACAAAACTTTCCCTCATCTCCCAAGGCTATGATATGATTTTTTAGTTTTAACTACTTTTTATTTTTAAATAACTAATTCAACCTAATATTAAGATAAAGTAAATAATCTGAAAGATTTTCCTGATCCAAAGTACAGAAAATTTTCAATCTCTCTGTCAAGAGTGAGGCAACACTAAGATGTTGCACAGCAACAAATGAACACAAGTCCCCATCTCTTTCAAAGCAGCTCTGGTTCACAGAAATGCCTTCTGGCAGAGTTAACAGCAAATTGCATCTGCTGCCCATGTTGTGGTCTCGGTTATTTCACCTGATTGCCATGAATACTGATCTACAATTTCTATTTATGGTGCATTAGTCAGCTTGGGCTGCCGTAACAAAACAATAGCATAAATGGGTTGGCTTAAACAACAAAAATGTATTTTTTCACAGTTCTGGAGGCTTAGAAGTTCATGATCAATTGCTGGCTGATTCAGTCTCTGATGAAGTCCTTCTTACCCGCCTGCAGACTATCACCTTCTTGCTATGTCCTTACACAGCAAAAAGAGAGAGATCTCTTGTGCCTCTTTCTTTTTTTATAGGATCAAGGCTCCACTCTTATGACTTTATTTAAGCTTAATAACCTTCTTAAAAGTCCTGTCTCCATTATAGACACCTGGGGTGTTAAGACTTGGATATATGAATTACAGAGGGACACAGTTCATTCAGTCCAAAGCACTTGGTTACTTTTCTGACACATGCCTCACACAACTAATGAAACTTTTCAGTGAACCACCAGTTCTCAATATAAGCTGCTCTCAACAATCTTCCATTTTGAATAAAAAAGTTAACCTGAGGCTTTCTTCACTCATGTTTCTCTAGTTCCCAACATGGCATGACCAGACTTTGATTCTGCTAATTACTATGTTGAATTGGGCATGACAGTTAAGGGAACATGCATAGTCTAACCATAGGGATTCCTATGTCTAAAGAGGTAGAATCACGCTGTGGAATATGGGTTGTATCCCAGCTCCGACCCTTTGCCAAACAAAAGTTAGAGAAACTAAACTATTTTGTTTCATCTCTTACTAAGGTGAGGGTGGGTGTGAGGGAGAAGATATGTTTATGATGTATATTTGAGTTTAGGAAAATGCTATATGTGCTGAGTGGAGCCAATTATTACAACTGTGATTTTGAGGCATACCTGATTTTGAGAAACTATCTTTAATGAGAGAGACAACTAATACACAGAGAAAACAGGAGCATCTAAGAAATAAAGACATAGTTATGGTGTAGACATTGGGTATGGTAAAAGTTAAATTGGGAAGAAGATATATATATAATCCATCAAATAGAAAACATCATTTCATGAGTTATCACAGGTTATTAAATTGCAGGAGGTGATTAGTTTATTTTGTTCCAAACCATGTCATGTAGAAATCTGAAATTCTTCTTTTAGTGTTGACAACTTGGTTGGAGAAATTTTATGCTCCAGATTAATGACTTATGTATTAAAAAATAAAGTGTTCGAGAAGGTGCTACTGCTGTTGATCCAAAGTAGTGAAATATATTTAACATGAGTTTAAATATACTTAACATAAGATTGTGAAATACATTATACATAGAAAGGAATACATATAATTATACTAAAATTTAAGAAAAATAACAATAAAATGCCTGAAAAGGAGTTACATTGTTTTAAAAAATTTCATTGAGGAATATTTGACAATTAAAAATTGTATATATTTAAATTATATAATTTGATGGTTTGCTACACATATATATTTTGAAACAATCACCACAATCAAACTAATTAACATATCCATCACTTCAGATTATTGCTTTTTAAATTTTTTTGGTAAGGACACTAGATATTTACCGTCAAAGGAAATTTCAAGTATACAATAAAGTATTGTTAACTATCAATATATTATTTTACATTAGCTCTCCAGGACTCAATAATTTTGCATAACTGAAACTTTTTACTCTTTGACCAAGAACTCCATACTTCTTCCATGCCTACTTTCTGCTTTTTAAGGGTTGAATAGCATTCCATTGTGTGTGTGTGTGTGTGTGTGTGTATGTGTAAAACTGTTTTTATCCACTTATCTGTTGAGAGACATTTATTGGCTGTTGTGAATAATGCTGAAAGAAGGAGAGTGCAGACATCATTTTGGGATCCTTGTTTCATTTCCGTTGGACATATATCTAGAAGTGGAGTTGCAGAATCAAAAGACAGTTCTATTTTTAATTTTTTGAAGAAATGTTATACAAATGTTCTACTGGTTGTGCCAATTTACATTCCCACCAAAACTGGACAAGGGTTCCCTTTTGTCCACACCCTTGCCAATACTTATTTTTCGTCTTTCTGATGAAATAAAATGCCTTGTAACAGATTTTAGAGGGAAAATTTTTATTTGTTCCCCATTAATTATGCTAGTTGTGGGCTTTTAATATACAACAATTATTGTGTTGAGGTAAGATCCTTCTATACCTATTTTATTGAGACTTTTAATTATGAATGGTGTTAAACTTTGGCTTTTTTTTTTTTCCTGTATCTATTGAGATAATCATGCATTTTTTCTTCTGTTAACATTGTATTGGCTGGGCACGGTGGCTCATGCCTGTAATCTCAGCACTTTGGGAGGCCAAGGTGGGCACATCACCTGAGGTCAGGAGTTCAAGACCAGCCTGGTCAACATGGTGAAACCTCATCTTTACAAAAATACAAAAATTAGCCACGCATGATGGCAGGTGTCTGTAGTCCCAGCTACTTGGGAGGCTGAGGTGGGAGAATAGCTTGAACCCAGGAGGCAGTGTTGCAGTGAGCTGAGATGTCACCATTGTACTCCAGCCCGGGCGACAAAGCGAGACTCCATCTCAGAAAAAAAAAAAAAGAAAAAAGAAAAAAATAGACAACATATTGTATCCTATTGATTGATTTGTGTAGGTTGAACCATCCTTGCAACCTTAGGATAAATCTTGGTTACTTGGTTATGGTATATGATCCTTTTAGTGTGCTGTTGAATTCTGTTTGTTAGTACTAAATTAAGAATTTTGCATCTATGCTCATCAGGGATAATGGCCTATGGTTTCCTTTTCTTTAATATCTTTCCCTGATTTAGTGTCAGAGTTACACTGACCTCATAAAAAGAATTTGGAACTGTTTTCTCCTATTTTGGGGAAAAGTTTATTAACTCTTTTTGGATGTTTTGTAGAATTTACCCATGAAGCCATAAAGTCCTAAGCTTTTCTTTGATGTGAAATTTTTGATTATTGATTCAATCTCCTTATTTATTATTGGTCCATTTAGATTTTCCATTTCTTTCTGATTTAACTTTGGTAGGTTGTATATTTCTAAAAATTTATCAATTTTTTAGGTTATTCAATATATTGACATATTATTTTTATAATAGTTCCTCATGATTCTTTTATTTCTGAGGCATCTGTTGCAATGTGTCCTCTTTCATTTCTGATTTTATTTATTTGAGTCTTCTCTCTTTCTTTAGCTAGAGGTTTGTCAATTTTGTTTTTCTTTCAAAAAAAAACTTTAGTTTTCTTATTTTTTTTACTTTTTTGTTCTCCATTTTATTTACTTCTTCTCTAAGTCTTATTATTTCTTTTTCTTTGCTTATTTTGGGCTTAGTTTATTCTTATTTTTTAGTTCCCGGAGGTATAAAATTGGATTTTTATTTTAGGGTTTTTATTTTTAATGTAGGCATTTTGTATTATAAACTTTCCCCTTATTAACACTTTTGCTGTTTTGCATAGGATTTAGTATATTTTCTTTTCATTTTTATTTATTTTAAGGTACTTTTTAAATTCTCTTTTGATTTTCTATTTGAACCAATAGTTGTTCAAGAGTGTGTTGTTTAGTTTCCACATATTTGTGATTGTATTGTTTCGTTTTCTTGCCGTTGCAGAATTCTAGCTTCATTCTGTATTGGTGGGAAAAGCTACTTGGAGAGGTATTTATTTTTTTCAATTTGTTAATATTTATTCTGAGACCTAACATGTGATCTACCCTGGAGAATGCTCAGTGAGTGCTTGAGAAAAAGGTGCATTCATTTGCTGTTGGGTGAAAAGCTCTGTATATATCAGTTAGATCCATTTAGTCTATAGCGTTGTTCAAGTAAGCTTCTTACTGATTTTCTGTCTGGATGTTCTAGTCATTGTGTAGGTTATTAAAGTCTCTTTTTTTTTTGTCAATTTCTGCTTTCATATCTGTCAATATTGCCTTATAGATTTAAATGCTCAGAAATTGGATGCACATATAGAAGTTATTTATTTATGTATTTATTTTGAGACAGAATCTCACTCTGTTGCCAGGCTGGAGTGCAATGATGCGATCTCACCTCACTGCAACATACACCTCCTGGGTTCAAGTGATTCTCCTGCCTCAGCCTCCTGAGTAGCTGGGACTACAGGCATGTGACATCATGCCAAGATAATTTTTGTATTTGTAGTAGAGACGAGGTTTCAACATGTTGGCCAGGAAGGTCTCAATCTCTTGACCTCATGATCCACCCACCTCAGCGTCCCAAAGTGCTGGGATTACGGGTGTGAGCCACCGCGCCCAGCTTAAGCTTCATGAAAACTAAGATGGCCCAGTTTTTGAAGGTCAATTGAGGTTAATTTTAAGATTTGGATACCACCTACGTCTTTACCCACCCACTTGCAATATGATGACATGGGCTAAGTGTAGGATTGGTGTTCCCACAAACATAAATAATAATGTGGTAAATCCTATCAATTGCAGTGTATGGCATGTAGCTGCAAGTGCAAGGCCTGTATGCTAACTCTGTGATATGGTTTGGCTCTGTGTCTCCACTCAAATCTTATCTAGTAGCTTCTGTAATTTCCATGTGTTGTGGCAGAGACTTGGTGGGAGATAATTGAATCACGAGGGTGAGTCTTTCTTGTGCTGTTCTTATGATAGTGAATATGTCTCACGAGATCTGATGGTTTTAAAAATAAGAGTTTCCCTGCACAAGCTCTCTCCTTTTGCCTGTTGCCATCCATGTAAGACATGACTTGCTCCTTCTTGCCTTCTGCCATGATCATGAGGCCTCCCCAGCTATGTGGAACTGTAAGTTCATTAAACCTCTTTCTTTTGTAAATGGCCCAGTCTGAAGTATGTCTTTATCAGCAGCATGAGAACACACTAATACAGTAAATTGGTACCCGTAGAGTGGGGCGCTGCTGAAAAGATAACTGAAAATGTGGAAGTGACTTTGGAACTGGGTAACAGGAAGAGGTTGGAAGAGTTTGGAGGCCTCAAAAGAAAACAAGAAAATTTGGGAAAGTTTGGAACTCCCTAGAGACTTGTTGAATGGCTTTGCCCAAAATGCTGATAGTGATATGTACAATAAAGTCCAGGCTGAGGTA